>NC_000023.11:49085837-49348394 GCF_000001405.40 Homo sapiens
AGAGTGAGACTCTGTCTCTAAAAATAAATACATAAATAAAATGGACAATATTCCAATGACCTAGTAATCTGTGGAAAGTTGGATGAAAGTTTAGGTATTCCAGACTTGTTCAAATTAATTGTATCTATATCTCAGAGAAAATCTTCCTCAAAACATGATTTTTTTTAATTGGGGAGACAGCTTCCAATGTAAACTGAAAGTGCACACCCAAAACACAAATATCTAAGGTAAAAATTACTCTGCTCAGACCCAGTTGAGCCAGCTTTAATATTAGTGTCCCTCCTTTATTACCACAAAGGGGTCCCAATCCAGACCCCAAGAGAAGGTTATTTGAGATGGAGTTTCACTCTTGTTGCTCAGGTTGGAGTGCAATGGCGTGATCTCGGCTCACTTCAACCTCTGCCTCCTGGGTTCAAGCGATTCTCCTGCCTCAGCCTCCTGAGTAGCTGGGATTACAGGTGCGTGCCACCATGCCCGGCTAATTTTTGTATTTTTAGTAGAGACGGGGTTTCACCATGTTGGTCAGGTTGGTCTCGAACTCCTGACCTCAAGTGATCCACCCACCTGGGCCTCCCAAAGTGCTGGGATTACAGGCATGAACCACCGTGCCTGGCCCAACATCTCTTTAAACAACTGCCCCTGGGCATGGGTGGGTGGGTGGAGGATGTGACTGAGCTGAGATGCTCCTTTCTCTCTGGGACTGATAAATTTTGCATACTTTACATAGCTCAGACTGCCCTTGGGCTATTTGTCTTTTCTCTTTTTTTTTTCCCCGAGGCGGAGTCTTGCTCTGTCGCCCAGGCTGGAGTGCAGTGGCACAATCTCCGCTCACTGCAGCCTCCGTCTCCTGGGTTCAAGTGATTCTTCCGCTTCAGCCTCCTGAGTAGTGGGGATTACAGGCGTGCACCACCACGAGGGCTAGTTTTTGTATTTTTAGTAGAGATGGGGTTTCACTGTGTCGGCCAGGCTGGTCTGGAACTCCTGATCTCAAATGATCTGCCCGCCTTGGCCTCCCAAAATGCTGGGATTACAGGCGTGAGCCACTGTGCCCAGCCTCCTTTTTTTCTTTTTTAGAGACAGGGTCTGGATCCTCCTGTCTCTGCCTCCCAAAGTGCTGGGATTACAGGCATAAGCCACCGCTCCCAGCCTAGTTTTATTTTCTCAGTGCAAATTTAGGAGCCATCAGTATACTGTTTTTGTTTTTTTGTTTTTTGTTTTTTTTTTTTAAAGATAAAGAAGGCTGGGCATGGTGGCCTACACCTGTAATCCCAGCACTTTAGGAGGCCAAGGCAGGCAGATCACCTAAGGTCAGGAGTTCAAGACCAGCCTGGACGACATGGTGAAAGCCCGTCTTTACTAAAAATACAAAATTAGCCGGGCATGGTGGTGCATGCCTGTAATCCCAGCTACTTGGGAGGCTGAGGCACGAGAATCTCTTCAACCCGGGAGGCAGAGGTTTGCAGTGAGCTGATATCGCACCATTGCACTCCAGCCTGGGCAACAAGAGCAAAACTGCGTCTCAAAAAAGAAAAAAAATTAGCTGGGTATGGTGGCACATGCCTGTAATCCCAGCTACTCGGGAGGCTGAGGCAGGAGAATCACTTGAACCCGGGAGGTGGAGGTTGCAGTGAGTCGAGATTGTGCCACTTTGGTCCAGCTTGGACAACAGAGCAAGACCATATCAAATAAATAAATAAATAAAATGAAATGAAAGAGATCACCTAGCAAGTGATGTAAATAAAGAAGAGGTTCTAGGACTAAGACGTGGGACATTGCTAAGATATAGGGCTCAGGGGAACCAGGAGGAACTAGCAAGACTGAATAGGAGAAGCCATCGAGGCAGGAGCAGAGCCAAGAGAAGATTCCAGAAAGTCAAAGGAAAAAGCATTTCAAGGACAGGTGCGGTGGCTCACGCCTGTAATCTGAGCACTTTGGGAGGCCAAGGTGGGAAGACTGCTTGAGCAGTTGCTGAGATTGTTTTAGCCGGAGGTTGAGGCTTCAGTGAGCCATGATTGTGCCACTGCACTCCAATCTGGGCAACAGAGCGAGACCCAGTCTCAAAATTTTTAAAAACACAAAAAATCAGTGGCAGTTGTTTAACATCATAGCTGGTTGAGATGGTGATAAGAGCTGGAGTAAACAAGCAACAGACCAAAAAGCATGAAAGGAAAAGCTGGGGAATGAGATGTCTATGAAAAGTTCTGACACACTGCTGGATATCTGGAATGCCATATGCATGCCCATGCATAGGGCTGTGAGCATGCCCAAGAAAGAACCAAGAAAAGGCCGGGTGTGGTGGCTCATGCCTGTAATCCCAGCACTTTCGGAGGGTGAGGCGGGTGGATCACTTGAGGTCAGGAGTTTGAGACCAGCCTGGCCAATGTGGTGAAATCCTGTCTCTACTAAAAATACAAAAAAAGTTAGCTGGGCGTGGTGGCGTGTGCCTGTAATACCAGGTACTCGGGAGGCTGAGGCAGGAGAATCGCTTGAATCCTGGAGATGGAGGTTGCAGTGAGCTGACATCACACCATTGCACTCCAGCCTGGGCAACAAGAGCAAAACTCCGTCTCAACAACAACAACAACGAAGAGAACCAAGAAGGCCTTAAGCTCTTATTTGTGGGGGACCTTCAGGCTTTGGGCAAGGAAAAAGTGAAGGCTAAGGCACAGTTGTGAACTACCTGAGGGAGTGTTCTAGGTATTCTCCAACATACATGGACACACATTAGGCAAATGCTGGAAGAAGTAATGGTTCAAGGCATTTAAGGGAACCTTTGCCTAACCGTTATCTGGTCAGTAAGCTAATGAAGCAGGGCCTTCAGTGGCCACACACAACAAAGAATACACACTTTATAGAATTAGTTCAGAAAAGTTGCTAAACAGGCTCATAGTAGCTCATGCCTTTGGGAGGCTGACATGGGAAGATGGCTTGAACCCAGGAGTTTGAGGTGCAGTAAGCTATGATCATGCACTACAATCCAGCCTAGACAACAAGAGGGAGACCTTATCTCAGAAACAAACAAACAAACAAAAAGAAGTCACTAAACAGCAGTGATAATAAAAACAAACAGCAGCCACAACAAACCCTGGGAAGGAGACAATCTGAATTTCAGAGTTGCCACATTATTTAAAATGTCCAGATTAAAAAATGCAAAGAAACTAGAAAGTAGGCCAGACACAGTGGCTCACGCTTGTAATCTCAGCACTTTGGGAGGCCAAGGTGGGTGGATCACCTGAGGTCAGGAGTTCGAGACCAGCCTGGCCAACATGGTGAAACTCTGTCTCTACTAAAAATACAAAAATTAGCTGGGCGTGGTGGCGCACGCCTGTAATCCCAGCTACTCAAGAGGCTGAGGTGGCAGAATCACTTGAACTCAGGAGGCGGAAGCTGCAGTGAGGCAAGATCATGCCACTGCACTCCAGCCTGGGTGACAGAGGGAGGCTCCATCTCAAAAAATAAATAAACTAGAAAGCATAGCCCATACACAGGAAAGAAAAAAAGAAGAAAAAAACCGGTAAATAAAAACTTCCACTGAGGAAGCTCAGATGTTGGAATTACTAGACAAAGTTTTTTTTGAGACAGAGTCTCACTCTGTTACCCAGGCTGGAGTGCAGTGGTGTGATCTCAGCTCACTACAACCTCAGCCTCCTGGGTTCAAGCGATTCTTGTGCCTCTGCCTCCTACGTAGCTGGAATTACAGGCATGTGCCACCACGCCCCACTAATTATTGTATTTTTAGTACACACAGAGTTTCGCCATGTTGGCCAGGCAATATAGTGAGACCCCATCTCTACAAAAAAGTAGCTGGCCATGGTGGTGCATGCCTGTAGTCCCACCTACTCAGGAGGCTATGGCAGGAAGATCGCTTGAGCCTAGGAGGTGGAGGTTGCAATGAGCTGAGATCGGGCCACTGCATTCCAGCCTGGGTGACAGAGCAAAACCTTATCTCAAAAAAAAAAAAAAAAAGAAAAGAAGAGAAAAAAAGAAGTACTGTACTTATACGTGTGGTACAACATGGATGAACCTTGAAAATATTATGCTATATGAAATAAGCCAGACACAATAGGCCACATATTTTTATGATTAATTTATATGAAAAACCAAGATAGGCAACTTCATAGAGACAGAAAATACATTCGTGGTTTTTAGGAGCTAAAGGCTAGGGGATGGGTGGAATAGTGACTGGTAATGGCTATGGGGTTTCCTTTAGAGGTAATGAAATAAAGGAATAAAGGTTTTTTTTTTTGAGACAGGAGTCTGACTCTGTCCAGCCTGGAGTGCAGTGGTGTGAACTTGGCTCACTGCAACCTCTGCCTCCCAGGTTCAAGCGATTCACCTGCCTCAGCCTTCCGAGTAACTGGGATTACAGGCGCCTGCCACCGCGCCCGGCTATATTATGTATTTCTAGTAGAAACGGGATTTCATCATGTTGGCCAGGCTGGTCCGGAACTCCTGACCTCAGGTGATCCACCCGGCTGTGCCTCCCAAAGTGTTGGGAATACAGACATGGCCACCACACCCGGCCCAAAATAAAGCTTCTTGAATTAGATAGTGTTGATGTCTGCACAATCTTGTGAATGTACTAAAAACCACTGAATTGCACACTTTGAAGAGGTTGGTTCTATGATATGTACATCTTACCTTACAACTATAAGAAAAGGAATGACCTATTGAAACATGGAACAAACCTGGTGAATCTCCAATAATTTTTTTTTTTGAGATGGAGTTTTTTGCTCTTGTCACCCAGGCTGGAGCAATGGCACGATCTCAGCTCACTGCAACCTCCGCCTCCTGGGTTCAAGCAATTCTCCTGCCTCAGCCTCCCAAGTGGCTGGGACTACAGGCACCCGCCACCATGCCCAGCTAATTTTTATATTTTTAACATGGGCAGAGTTTCACCACATTGGCTAGGCTGGTGTTGAACTCCTGACCTCAGGTGATTCACCTGCTTCGGCCTCTCAAAGTGCTGGGATTACAGGTGTGAGCCACCGTAATCCAGGCCTTTTTTTTTTTTGAGACGGAGTCTCGCTCTGTCACCCACACTGAAGTGCGGTGGCGCGATCTCGGCTCACTGCAACCTCTGCCTCCCAGGTTCACGCCATTCTCCTGCCGCAGCCTCCCAAGTGGCGCCCGCCACCATGCCCAGCTAACTTTTTTTTGTATTTTTAGTAGAGGCGGGGTTTCACCGTGTTAGCCAGGATAGCCTCAATCTCCTGACCTCGTGATCCGCCCGCCTCGGCCTCCCAAAGTGCTGGGGTTATAGGTGTGAGCCACTGCGCCCGGCTTCCAATAACTTTTATAGAGTGAAAGAACTTAGAGAGAGCTAGTCTTGGTGGCTCATGCTTGTAATTCCAGCACTTTGGGAGGCTGAGGCGGGTGGATCACTTGAGCTCAGGAGTTCAAGACCAGCCTGGCCAACATGGCAAAACCCCATCTCTACCAAAAATACAAAAATTAGCTGGGCGTGATGGTGCACGTCTGTAATCCCAGCTACTTCAGAGGCTGAGGCAAGAGAATCACTTGAAACCGGGAGGTGGAGGTTGCAGTGAGCCGAGATCGCACCACTGCACTCCAGCCTGGGCGACAGAGCGAGACTCCGTCTCAAAAATAAAGAAAAGAAAGAAGGAATTGGCCGGGCGCGGTGGCTCACGCCTGTAATCCCAGCACTTTGGGAGGCCGAGGCGGGTGGATCATGAGGTCAGGAGATCGAGACCATCCTGGCTAACAAGGTGAAACCCCGTCTCTACTAAAAATACAAAAAATTAGCCGGGCGCGGTGGCGGGCGCCTGTAGTCCCAGCTACTCGGGAGGCTGAGGCAGGAGAATGGCGTGAACCCGGGAAGCGGAGCTTGCAGTGAGCCGAGGTTGCGCCACTGCAGTCCGCAGTCCGACCTGGGCGACAGAGCGAGACTCCGTCTCAAAAAAAAAAAAAAAAAAAAAAAAAAAAAAGAAGGAATTTAGAAGAGTTCATACTAAGATGCACTTATATAAAACTCTTAAAAAGGCAAAATATGCCAGGCGCGGTGGCTCACGCCTGTAATCCCAGCACTTTGGGAGGCTGAGGCGGGTGGATCACGAGGTCAGTAGATCGAGACCATCCTGGCTAACACGGTGAAACCCCGTCTCTACAAAAAATTAGCCAGGCGTGGTGGCACTTGCCTGTAGTCCCAGCTACTCGGGAGGCTGAGGCAGGAGAATCGCTTGAACCCGGGAGGCGGAGGTTGCAGTGAGCGAGACCACGCCATTGCACTCCAGCCTGGGCAACAGAGCAACACTCCATCTCAAAAAAAAAAAAAAAAAAAAAAAGGCAAAATATAACAAAGTATATTTTGTACACTTTGTTATATTTTGTATACTTTGTTATATTTTGTATGCTATAGTAACAAAGCAGATCCGTGGTTGCTTGGGGATGAGGTGGGGCAGTTAGGAAGGGAATTACAAAGGGGCATGAGGAAACTTGGAGATGATGATATGTCCACTATCTTGATTATGGTGATGGTTTCATGAGTGTATGCATATGTTATTTTTTTTCAAAACAAATACCTAACACTTCTGTTTCTTGGACCAATTTTTTTTTTAACTTGCCCTGCCCCCACCACCTGCTTGGACCAAAATATAATACCTATTTATGTCCTAAAAAAATAGTAGCAGTTTAGAAAATCGACAACACATAGATAGAAAAAAAAATTGTTAAATAACTACAATTGCTTATTAATGGATGCATGTTTGTTAGACTCTGCACACCTTCCCAAACCTTAATCAGATTGTCTGATATCACCTAAATCACTTTATCCATGCTGATTTTTGTCAGGTGTTTGCTTTTTATCACAGAAACTGCTGTAAACCCAGCTTTGCAAAAAGATGTCATTGAAAGAAAAGTAGTTCAATGTAACTTTGAAACTTTGAACTCCCTTGAATAGTTTATGAGGTATCTGACATGTTGAGTACCCATATATTTCCCTCAAACAATTTAAAGCATCTTACAGCGTCCCTGAGAATTCACTATGGCACTCTGAGGTGCCTCAACACAGTTTGGGAACTGCAATCCTAACTCACGCAGGTCTGTGTTTCCTCATTCTGTTTCTTTTCACTTAGTATTATGGTTTTTTTGTTTTGTTTTTTAGAGGGAGTCTCTGTCACCCAGGCTGGAGTGCAGTGGCGCCATCTCGGCTCACTGCAACCTCCGCCTCCTGGGTTCAAGCCATTCTCCTGCCTCAGCCTCCCAAGTAGCTGGGATTACAGGTGCCCACCACCATGCCTGGCTAATTTTTGTATTAGAGACGGGGTTTCACCATGTTGGCCAGGATGGTCTCGATCTGACCTCGGCCTCCCAAAGTGCTGGGATTACAGGTGTGAGCCACTGTGCCTGGCCAGTATTATGTTTTTAAGCTGGATACTTTGTTTTCTTTTAATAGAGATGGGGTCTTGAGGTCTCACTATGTTGCCCAGGCTATATTTTTTTTGAGACGGAACTTTGCTCTTGTCACCCAGGCTGGAGTGCAATGGCACGACCTCAGCTCACTGCAACCTCCACCTCCTGGGTTCAAGCAATTCTCTTCCCTGGGATTACAGGCTTGAGCCGCTGAGCCCGGCCAGCCCAGGCTAATCTTGAACCACTGGGCTCAAGTAATCTTCCTGTCTCAGTCTTCCAGAGTGCTAGGATTACAAGCGTGAGCCACCACAATCAGCCTTCTTTTTTTTTTTTTTTTTTAATGAGTCAGGGTCTCCCTCTGTCACCCACACTGGAGTGCAGTGGTGTGATCATAGTTCACTGCAGCCTGCAGCCTCGAACTCCTGGGCTCAGGCAATACTCCCACTTCAGCCTCCCAAGTAGCTGGGACTACAGGCACACTTCACCATGCCCAGCTTTTTAAAACATATTTTTTGTGAAGATGCGGTCTCATTATGTTGGCCAGGCTGGTCTCAAACTGCCGGACTCAAGTGATTCTCCCACCTTGTTCCCCAAAGTGCTGGGATTACAGGTGTGACCCACCTTGCCTGGCCCGGGGTGTCTTTTTTTTCTGAGATGGAGTCTCACTCTATCGCCCAAGCTGGAGTGCAGTGGTGTGATCTCAGCTCACTGCAACCTCCACCTCCTGGGTTCAAGCGATTCTCCTGCCTCAGCATCCCCAGTAGCTGGAATTACAGGCACACACCACCATGCCTGGCTATTTTCTGTATTTTTAGTAGACACAAGGTTTCACCATGTTGGCCAGGCTGGTCTCATAGGGTGTCTTTAACTAGCATGGAACCCACAAGGTCCACTCATTCATTTTTGTATTACCTCCCAGGCTCAGCATGGTGCCTGAACCTCTATAAGGAGGCAATGTGTGTTAAGAGAGACAGGAGGGGTCAGGTGCGGTGGCTCACACCTGTAATCCCAGCACTATGGGAGGCCAAGGCAGGCAGATCACTTGAGGCCAGGAGTTCGAGACCAGCCTGGCCAACATGGCAAAATCCCGTCTTTACTAAAATTGCAAAAATTAGCCATGCGTGGTGGTGTACGCCTGTAATCCCAGCTATTTAGGAGGCTGAGACATGAGAATTGCTTGAACCCGGGAGTTTGAGGTTGCAGTGAGCTGAGATCGCCCCACTGCACTCCAGCCTGGGTGAAAAAATAAGACTGTCTCAAAGAAAAAAAATTTTTTTTTTTGTAGAGACGGGGTTTCCCCACGTTGCCCAGGCTATAACTGTACTTTAAAAGACACAATACTCTAGAGATGTCATTACAGTTAGTAGATTATTATCTTAATTGACCCTAAATTCGCTATTTTGGAGCTAAGCAACCAATTACGGCCTGGTGGTATATTCACCTGCTCCTTAGATGGAGGTTCTGTGAAGGCAGCAGCTCTGTCCATGTTGTTTACTGTAGGGCTGAACACTGACCTTGAGACATAGTTGGCACTCAAAATTATATGTTGAATGACAGAATTTTGATTAGGTGGATCTAACGCATTTGAAATAATTCATAGGGCTGGGCACGGTGGCTCAAGCCTGCAATCCCAGCACTTTGGGAGGTGGAGGCAGGCAGATCGCCTGAGGTCAGGTGTGCAAGACCAGCTTGGCCCCAGCCTCCCTAGTAGCTGGGATTACAGGCATGCACCACCACGCCTGGCTAATTTTGTATTTTTAGTAGAGATGGAGTTTCTCCATGTTGGTCAGGCTGGTCTCAAACTCCCGACCTCAGGTGATCTGCCTGCCTTGGCCTCCCAAAGTGCTGGGATTATAGGCATGAGCCACCGAGCCCGACCATCCTGGACATCTCTTAACCCAGCTTTCCCTCTGCAAAGGGAGCATGCATTTCAGTGAAAGTTTAGAAGAATTACAGTGATATCACTTTCATGAATCAAAATTGGCTACTTGACTTCAGTAATTTGTGAAAATTACTGTTGCGGCTGGGCATGGTGCCTCACACCTGTAATCCCAGCACTTTGGGAGGACAAGGTGGGAGGATTGCTTGAGCCCAGGAGTTCGAGACTGGCCTGAGCAACATGGCAAAATTCCATCTCTACAGAAAATACAGGCTGGGCACGGTGGCTCACACCTGTAATCCCAGAACTTTGGGAGGCCAAGGCGGGCGAGCCTCCTGAGTAGCTGAGACTATAGGTTCACACCACTACATCCGGCTAATTTTTTTTTTTTGAGATGGAGTCTTGCTCTGTTGTCCAGGCTGGAGTGCAGTGGCACGATCTCGGCTCACTGCAACTTCTTCCTCCCAGGTTCACGCCATTCTCCTGCCTCAGCCTCCCGAGTAGCTGGGACTACAGGCGCCCGCCACCACGCCCAGCTAATTTTTTGTATTTTTAGTAGAGACGGGGTTTCACCATGTTAGCCAGGATGGTCTCGATCTCCTGACCTCATGATCCGCCCACCTTGGCCTCCAAAAGTGCTGGGATTACAGGTGTGAGCCACCGTGCCCGGCCTTTTTTTTTTTTTTTTTTTTTTTTGAGGCGGCATCTCGCTGTCACCCAGGCTAGAGTGCAATGGCGTGATCTGGGCTCACTGCAACCTCCGCCTCCCGGGTTCAAGCAATTCTCTGCCTCAGCCTCCTGAGTAGCTAGAATTACAGGCGCCAGCTGCCAAGCCTGGCTATTGTTTTTGTATTTTTTTTTTTAGTAGAGATAGGGTTTCAATAAGTTGGCCAGGCTGGTCTTGAATTCCTGACCTTGTGATCCACCCACCTCGGCCTCCCAAAGTGCTGGGATTACAGGCATGAGCCACCCTGCCCGGCCAAGTTTTACATTATTAAGCTATCCATGTTCTCTTGGGAACTGAACTTTTTTTCCTCTTGATGCTCTGGATTTGACATTGCACTTGACTTTTTATGTAGTAACTGACATGTGCCAGAGTTGGCATCTTCCCCCAAGTCCAAGCATCATGAGTAACTCTTGCTTATCTCTCTCTCTCTCTTTTTTGAGACAGGTTTTGCTGTCACCTAGGCCGCAGTGCAGTGGCGTAATCATGGCTCATTGCAGTCTCAACCTCCTGAGCTCACTCAATCCTCCCACCTCAGCCTCCCATGTAGCTGAGACTACAGGCACGCACCACCACACCCAGCTAAATTTGTTTATTTTTGTAGAGACTAGATCTCACTATGTTGCCCAGGCTGGTCTTGAACTCTGGAGCTCAAGCGATCCTCCTGTCTCAGCCTCCCAAAATGTTGGCATTATAGGCGTGAGCCACTGCACCCTGCCTTGCTTATCTTTATAGATTCAAATGGTAGGCATTTCCCATCACCTAATTCCTTTTTTTGTTATTGTTGAATAGGGTCTTGCTCTGTTGCCCAGGCTAGAGGGCAGTGGCCCAATCACAGCTCACTGCAGCTTCAATCTTTTGGACTCAAGTAATCCTCCTGCCTCAGCCTCACAAAGTGCTGGGATTACAGGCATGAGCCACCAGGCTTGGCAAGTGATGACATTTTTTATTTTTATTTTTTGAGACTGAGTTTCGCTCTGTCGCCAGGCTGGAGTGCAGTGGCACAATATCGGCTCACTACAACCTCCGCTTCCTGGGTTCAAGCGATTCTCCTGCCTCAGCCTCTCAAGTAGCTGGGACTACAGGTGCACACCACCATGCTCGGCTAATAAGAGATGGGGTTCCACCATGTTGGCCAGGATGGTCTCCATCTCTTGACCTCGTGATCCGCCCACCTCGGTCTCCCAATGTGCTGGGATTACAGGTGTGAGTTACTGCGCCTGGCCAGCAAATGATGAAATTCTTATAATTTAAATGGCTACAGACTTAAAAGGCAAGCTATATACATTGAAGCACTTTTTTTTTTTAGCATTTGTACTTTTCAAATAGACCCATTCTTTTATTAATAAGCTAAAGATTTTCTTTTCCTCCCCCATCTTCTTTATTTGTAAATACTTTTGGGTGTGTTTCTTTTAGTTAAGTATGCACAACAGATAAGAAAGGGTGTGTTTCTGTTATTTATTTGAGATGGAGTTTCACTTTTGTCGCCCAGGCGCCCACCACTAGCCCCAGCTAATTGTTTTTTTTTTTTTTTGAGACAGAGTCTCGCTCTGTCGCCAGGCTGGAGTGTGGTGGCGTGATCTGGGCTCACTGTAGCCTTCACCTCCTGGTTTTAAGCGATTCTCCTGTCTCAGCCTCCCGAGTAGCTGGGACTACAGGCACGTGCCACCATGCCCAGCTCATTTTTTGTATTTTTAGTAGAGATGGGGTTTCACAATGTTGGTTAGGATGGTCTTGAACTCCTGACCTCAGGTGATCTGCCCGCCTCGGCCTCCCAAAGTGCTGGGATTACAGGCATGAGCCACCGCGCCTGGCCTCCCCCAGCTAATTTTTGTATTATTATTATTATTATTTTTTTTTTTGAGATGGAATTTTGCTCCTGTTGCCCAGGCTGGAGTACAATGGCGCAATCTCGGCTCACTGCAACCTCTGCCTCCCAGGTTCAAGCGATTCTCCTGTCTCGGCCTCCAGAGTAGTTGGGATTACAGGCGTTAGCCACCACACCTGGCTTATTTTTTGTATTTTTAGTAGAGATGGGGTTTCACCATGTTGGTCAGGCCGGTCTTGAACTCCTGACCTCAGGTGATCCACCTGCCTTGGCCTCCCAAAGTGCTGGGATTACAGGCACGAGCCACTGTGCCCGGCCTATTTATTTATTTTTTGAGATGAGGTCTCTGTTGCCCAGGCTGGAGTGCCGTGGTGTGATCATGGCTCACTGCGGCCTCTAATTGCAAGGCTTAAGTGATCCTCCCACATCAGCCTCCTGAGTAGCTGGGACCACAAGTGTGTACCACCAAACTGGGCTAATTTTTTGTAATTTTTGTAGAGACGGTGTCTCACATTGCCCAGACTGGTCTCAAACTCCTGGCCTCAAGTACTCTCTCTTTAAAAAAGATAATACTGCAGGGCATGGAGGCTCATGCCTGTAATCCCAGCACTTTGGGAGGCTGAGGTGGGCGGATCACTTGAGGTCAGGAGTTTGAGACCAGCCTGACCAACATGGCAAAACCTGGTCTCTACTAAAAATACAAAAATTAGCCAGGAGTGGTGGCGAGCACCTGTAAATCCCATCTACTCGGGAGGCTAAGGTGCGGGAATTGCTTGAACCTGGGAGGCGGAGGTTGCAGTGAGTCAAGACCGTGCCACTAAACTCCAGCCTGGACAACAGAAGGAGAACCTATCTTAAAAAAAAAAAGAAAAAAAAAAGGTAATAAAGGCTGGGTGCAGTGGCTCATGCCTGTAATTCCAGCACTTTGGGAGTCTGAGGCAGGAGGATTGCCTGAACGCAGAAATTTGAGACCAGCAGGGCAACATTGTGAGACCTCATCTCTACAAAAAGTAAAAAATTAGCCAGGTGTAGCGTGGCGCACCTGTACTCCAAGCTACTTGGGGGGCTGAGGTGGGAGGATGGCTTGAGCACAGGCTGTCCAGACTGCAGTGAGCCATGACTTCACCATTATACTCCAGCCTGGGTGACAAAGAAATACCCTGTCTCTACCCCCCCACCAAAAAATGAGTTAATATAGCTTATTGTATGTTTGGTTATACTGTAATCTTTAGAACAAAATCCCAAACAAAAACAATGCACCCCTCACTTCCTATGGCATCTGAGTGGCGAAACTGAAGTATATACAAAGTATTATATGAAACGGAAGTATATACAAAGTATTATACAAAAGTGAAGTATACATGTTACAAAGCCAGCCACTCTCAGAAACATCCAGAGGAGGGGCCTGGCACAGTGGCTCATGCCAGTAATCGCAGCACTTTGGGAGGCCCAGGTGGGTGGATTACCTGAGGTCAGGTGTTTGAGACCATCCTGGCCAACATGGTGAAACCCCATCCCTACTAAAAATACAAAAATTAGCTGGGCGTGGTGGTGCGTGCCTGTAGTCCCAGCTACTCGGGAAGCTGAGGCAGGAGAATCGCTTGAACCCGGGAGGCAGAGGTTGCAGTGAGCCGAGATCACACCACTGCACTCCTGCATGGCAACAGAGTGAGACTCCATTTCAAAAAAAAAAAATCCAGAGGTGACTAATTGCCCGGACTTCAACTGAACCTTTGAAGAGTGCTACCCAGTACTCCAGTTCCCACACACTCACAGTTAAAATAGCAACCTTTTTCCTCATTCCTGAGAAAAGAGGGATAAAATAACAATCTAAGAGAAAAGGAAAGAACAATGTTTCTGGGGCGGGCGTAGTGGCTTATGCCTGTAATCCCAGCACTTTGGGAGGCTGAGGCAGGCGGATCACGAGGTCAGGAGATCGAGACCATCCTGGCTAACACGGTGAAACCCTGTCTCTACTAAAAATACAAAAAATTAACCGGGCGTGGTGGCGGGCGCCTGTAGTCCCAGCTACTCAGGAGGCTGAGGCAGGAGAATGGCGTGAACCCGGAAGGTGGAGCTTGCAGTGAGTCGAGATCGCGCCACTGCACTCTAGCCTGGGCGACAGAGCGAGACTATGTCTCAAAAAAAAAAAAACAAAAAAAAACAAAAAAAAACACACAGTGTTTCTTGGGACCAGACCTGATATCAACGTTGTTTCTTGGGACCAGACCTGATATCAACGTTGTTTCTTGGGACCAGACCTGATATCAAGGTTGGCTGTTTTCAGCAGTGGAGGCAGCACTACGCTATTGGAGTTTCTAAGCTAATTAAGGGAATTTTTTCCCACTTAGTGAAAGCTGGGGCCTCAGGGCTCAGGCTTCCTAACATTTTGGGCACCCAGTTAAAAGATCAACAGTCCCCTGTCCCTTCAGCATGTGACTCACCCCAGGGCAATGAACTGGGCCCACGGCTCCATCTGCATCTATATCCCTGTAAATCATGGATTTATACATATTGGTGCATACGTTTATAATGCTTGCAATATATACTTCCATTTCAACTTACATATATATAAAATGTAACAATTTCTTTTCTTTCTTTTTTTTTTTTTTTGAGACGTAGTTTCGCTCTGTCGCCCAGGCTGGAGTGCACTGGCGCGATCTCGGCTCACTGCAAGCTCCGCCTCCCGGGTTCACGCCATCCTCCTGCCTCAGCCTCCTGAGTAGCTGGGACTACAGGCGCCCGTCACCACGCCCGGCTGATTTTTTGTATTTTTTTAGTAGAGACGGGGTTTCACTGTGTTAGCCAGGATGGTCTCGATCTCCTGACCTCGTGATCCACCTGCCTCGGCCTCCCAAAGTGCTGGGATTACAGGCGTGAGCCACCGCGCCCGGCCAAAATGTAACAATTTCAACCTGTAAAAAGATAAGTGGTCACCTTACCTATGATGTGGATTAAATAAGACGTGTCAACGCAGCCATCCTGCCCCATCCGACCAGACCTTAATGCTCCAAAACCATCAGTTTGCGCCTGGAAAACTGGGGAAAGTGTTTATTCCCTTACACAGGCTTCGCCAAAGGCCCTGACACTTAGGGCTTTTTCACTGCTGCAAACGTTGGACCGGCTTGTGAGAAGGAGTACAGTTAATCTAACTTTGGTATACTGTATCCAGAGACCACAGAGGGCTCGCTCTGCGATTTATGGTGCGAGGAAGACCAGACACCCGCTGTGCCCGTCCTACTCCTGCAGATCAAACTCAAAGCCACACTTTCCGGAGTGAGAAACGGGACAGTAAATGAACGCAGGAACCACGGTGCGCAGGCACAGAACCCCGCTGGGTTTGCTACGAAGGTTGAGGTGGAAGCGCCCAGCGCACCAGGCGCCACGGCCCGGTGTGTGACCTCACTAACCTCCACCAGCGCGCACCCTGTCCTGCCCCTTCACGGGCGAACAACCCCACACGAGGCAGTGGTGTGGGAGCCAGTACCCGGAACCGTAAAAGCACGACTTTCCCGGAGCCCAGGCACTGAATGGCACCCACTGCGCATGCCCCAGAGCGGCGACGAATGGGAGCCCGGAGCGCAGGGGCGGAGGCGCGCCCGGGCAGCTACCGAGAAGCGCCAATCAACCATCGACCAATCAGATCATCACCGTCAATCGTCATCGACCAATCAGAGCCCACCGCGCCCCGGCCTTAAGCCAGTTGCTTGTTCCGCGGCGGGAGGGTTGGGTCAAGACTAAGCCTTCGGGGGAGAGGGCAACGCGGTGGGCGGGAGAGAGGCCGAGGGCCGCTCGGGTCTGGGAGTGCCAACAGGACGGGATGGGCACGAGCATGCCGGGCCCCGCGCGGGGGAGGGGCTCTTTCCTTACCCCACACAAAAAGGTGTGCCCGGGTTGGCTGCCCCTGCCCAGTGTTGTGGCTCCATGTGGACGCTTTCGTGCGCGCGTCCCTGCCCCGCGCGCGGCAGGCCATTCCAGGCTGTGGGCTGCGGGCTCTGGGGTCCGAGGGTCGGACACGCTGGGGAGTGGACACCCCTAGGGTCACACAGACAGGGCTTTGGACACCCACAGGGGCACACACATTGGGGAGTGGGCACTCCTGGGGTCACACAGACCGAGGTGCAGGGATGTAGGGGGCGCCCGTCCAGGGGTAGTTGGTGGTGGCTGAGGGTGAGGGCAAGGTAAGGACTGGGAGGAGATTTCTGGTTCCCTGACTGGGCCAGGGTTTTCCTGTGCAGGTGAGGGGAGTAGGCCGGGGCCTCTCGTTGGTGGGGAGGGCTCCAGGAGCCTGTCCCAACCCTGCAGGCCTCTGGCTGAGCCTCACAGAAGGGAGCTCTGAGATGGGCTGTGCAGCAGGGGAAAGAAAAAGAGAGGTCGGTCGCCTGTTCTGGGTTCTTGACCATCCACCAGTGGTGGTGGAGCCTGGAAGTCTGAGGGAGGAGGGTGAGGAGGCGCTTGAGGGACGGGGGGAATCTAGGCGTCAGGAATGATAGTTCGTTGATCCAAATTACCCAGTAATGGATAATTTTAACACGTGCCAACCTCTCCTGATTACGTGAATAATTTCACTGCGTCTTCACAACAACCTTAACTACTATTATCATCGTTGCGTTCTGGATGAGAGACCTAAGGCCCTGTAGGGGTTACCAGAAGGCACACAGCTGAGCAGAGCCAGGGCCAGGGTCAGGCTGTGCACTCTGGACTCTGTGTTCTGACCATGCGTCACTGACTCTACAGATGTCTCTCCTTTCTGTGCTCACCCTGTCCTCATTCCGCCCCCGGCAGGACAGAGGGCCCCTGAAGCATCCATTTGCCCACAGCATCAGTGAACTGTGTAGAACTCTCTGTGCAAGGGAGCTGGCCCCTGTGCACCCTGAGTCGTTTTTCTTCTCTGGCTCCCCACGCAGGGGCAGTGAACAGAGGACAGGGAAGCTTTGTAGGAAGAGGGCAGTAAATCACAGCATAGTTATCCAGACTGCAATTATTTACTTAGTGCATTCAGGGTCTTGTATTAGGTGGTGGGGATTCCGCGCTGAACCAGACAGACAAGGGTCCTGTTCCTGCCTGCCCTCGGGGTGTGTTTTGGGAATTCCTCCTTGAGGGTGCTTTGGCACTGAATGGGCAGAGGTCTGGTGCTGGGGGGCTGTCCCACACCAGCAAGACTTGTAATGTACATGAATGTGAATGTCATTTCAGGATGGTAAAAGGAGGCCTTTTCTTTTTTTTTTTTTTTTCTGAGACGGAGTTTCGCTCTTGTTGCCCAGGCTGGAGTGCAATGGCACGATCTTGGCTCACTGCAACCTCTGCCTCCCAGGTTCAAGTGATTCTCCTGCCTCAGCCTCCCTAGTAGCTGGGATTACAGGCATGTGCCACCACGCCCAGCTAATTTTGTATTTTTAGTAGAGACAGGGTTTCTCCATGTTGGTCAGGCTGGTCTCGAACTCCCGACCTCAGTTGATCCACCCACCTTGGCCTCCCAAAGTGCTGAGATTACAGGCATGAGCCACCGCGCCCGGCCGAAATGTTTCTTACTAAAAGGGCGTACTGGATCTGAGGGTTGGGAAATGACACTTCCTTATGTCAGGCCTGTCCCAGGAAGCACCCCGCAGTCGGGTACGGAGGGCCATGAGGATAGTACGGTGAGGGGAGGAAGAGGATATAGCAACGTAAATTTTGCCATCTTGGCCTCAGTTTGGTTTTAAAGGACAGCAGCTGGACCTTCCCTATGTGTAGGACTCAATCAGTGGGGCCAGGGTGTGGAAGACAGCCCTGTGTCTTATTACCTACTCAGGGCCTGAGGTGTGGCAACCAGGATCTTGCAGGGAATGCCTTCCCAAAAAGAAGCAAAATACAGAAGATATAAACAGGAAGCCAGGCATAGTGGCTCACACCTGTAATGCAAGCACTTTGGGAGGCTGAGATGGGAGGATCCCTTGCACTCAGGAGTTTGAGACCCACCTAAGCAACACAGTAAGACCCTGTCTTTATAAAAAAATTTTAAAAATTATCCGGGTATGGTGGTGTGTGCCTGTAGTCCCAGCTACTTGAGGGGCTGAGGAGGGAGGATTGCTTAAGCCTGGAAGTTCAAGGTTGCAGTGCACTGTGATCATGCCAGTGCACTCCAGCCTGGGTGACAAAGCAAGAACCCTGTCTCAAAAAAAAAAAAAAAGATATAAACAGGAGGTGATTCATCTGGTGCCCCTGGAGGTTGGAGACGAAGGTGATGGGGTCTATCCCAGTTCTTGGGCGTTCCTGGTGTTTACTGTGTAGTAAATTACTTCTGCTTCCAGCTGTGCAGACAAGCAAACAGAAAAGCTGGATTAAAGCTGCTGTTTTTAAGTCTATTTGAAGGCCCAGGAGAGCAAATTATCTCTGAGGTATTACCTCACCAAATACTGGCATCCAGTGCAGAAAAGCAAGAGTTGATGGAGACACATAAAAAACAAACAAGCTCGGCTGGGCACAGTGGCTCACGCCTGTAATCCCAGCACTTTGGGAGGCTGAGGTGGGCTGATCACCTGAGGTCAGGAGTTCGAGACCAGCCTGGCCAACATGGTGAAACTCCGTCTCTACTAAAAATACAAAAATTAGCTAGGTGTGGTGGCGGGTGCCTGTAATCCCAGCTACTCGGGAGGCTGAGGCAGGAGAATCACTTTAACCTGGGAGGCAGAGGTTGCAGTGAGCTGAGATCGTGCCACTGCACTCCAGCCTGGGCAACAGAGCAAGACTCTGTCTCAAAAACAAACAAACAAAAACCAAAACAACAAACAAACAAAAAACAAACTAGCTCTGGCCGGACGTGGTGGCTCACGCCTGTAATCCCAGCACTTTGGGAGGTGTGTGGATCACCCGAAGCCAGGAGTTCAAGACCAGCCTGGCCAACATGGTGAAACCCCATCTATACTAAAAATACAAAAAATTAGTCTGTCGTGGTGGTGTGTGTGCCTGTGGTCCCAGCTACTGGGGAGGCTGAGGTGGGAGGATCACTTGTGCCTGGGAGGCAGAAGTTGCAGTGAGCTGAGATTGTGCCACTGCACTTCAATCTGGGTGACAGAGTGAGACCACGTCTTATTAAAAAAATAAATACAAATATTAGTTGGGTGTGGTGGCATGGGCCTGTAATCCCAGCTACTTGGGAGGCTGAGGTGAGAGAATTGCTTGAACCCAGGAGGTGGAGGCCTCAGTGAGCCGAGATCACGCCACTGCACTCCAACCTGGGCAACAGAGCAAGAATCTGTCTCAAAAAAAAAACAAAAACAAAAAACAAAGGCCAGGCGCAGTGGCTCACACCTGTAATTCCAGCACTTTGGGAGGCCCAGGCAGGTGGATTACTTGAGGTAAGGAGTTTGAGACCAGCCTGGCCAACATGGTGAAATCCTGTCTCTACTAAGAATACAAAAATTAGCTGGGCATGGTGGCCCATGCTTGTAATCTCAGCTGCTCCAGAGGCTAAGGCACAAGAATCACTTGAAACCCAGGAGGCAGAAGTTGTAATGGGCCGAGATTGCACCATGGCACTCCAGCCTTGGCAACAGAGTGAGACTGTCTCTAAATAAATAAATACATACATACAGACAGACATACATACTAGCTCCAAATTACTGATGCCAATCAACAGTAATAAAAAATATGAATGATATGAAACGTGATATTAAAATGATTAGTAAATCACTATAGTCCATAATGGGAAAACTCATTCCATTATGTACTAAAATAACAAAAATCGGGCCAACACTTTGGGAGACTGACGTGGGCAGATCCCTTGAGTTCAGAGGTTCGAGACTAGCCTGAGCAACACAGCAAAATTTCATCTCTACAAGAAATATAAAAATTAGCCAGGTACGGTGGAACATGCCTGTGGTCCCAGCTACTCGGGAGGCTGAGGTGGGAGGAAGAGGATGGCTTGAGCCTGGGAGGCGGAGGCTGCAGTGAGCCGAGATCACGCCACTGCACTCCAGCCTGGGCAATAGAGCCAGACCTTGTTTTTTTTTTTTTTTTTTTTTTTAAATCATTCTCATACCTTGATAAGGAAATACGCAACTTTTAAATGTTAATTTAGAAAATAACCAGCAAATGTAGCAGATTTTTAGTGTCCCCTAAATTAGTGTTCAAGGGGATCAATCTGGACGCAGAGAAAGAAGTAAAAAAATGGAGAACAGGCCAGGCACAGTGGCTCACGCCTGTAATCCCAGGGCTTTGGGAGGTTGACGGAGCCGGATTGCTTCAGCCCACGAGTTCAAGACCAGCCTGGGCAAAATGGCAAAGCCCAATCTCTATGGAAAATAAAAACTTTTAAAAATTAGCCCACCATGGTGGCACTGGCCTGTAGACCCAGCTACTCAGGAGGCTGAGGTGGGAGGATCCCTTAAGCCCAGGAGTTGGAGGTGGCAGTGAGCCATGATTGCGCCACTGTACTACAACCTGAATGATGGTGAGACCCTATCTCTAAAAAGAAAAAGAATAATTTTATCTTGGCCCCCATGTGGCACCTCACAGCTTGGGAACAACAATTTCTCACGTTTCCTCAGCTCCAACCACCACTCACAAGCTGTGTGACCTCGAGCAAGGCACCCAAGCTCCTCTGGACCTCAGCTTCCCTGTCAGTACAATGGGGATAACAATAGTGCTTACTTTATGGGGTCATTTGTGAATGTGAGATGAGTTAATAAATGGAAAGCACTTAGAAAAACCTCTGGAACCACTGAATCAAACTGGATATCATTATTGATCCCTCATTCAATCCTTCAATACCCATTTAGTGTCGTCTGTCCAGATGCTGCAGATACGCCTAGCACACAGTGACTGCTCAGCGAACAGTGTCACAATGAACATGTGCAATGGCCTTGAAGGCCACATTGGGACTTGCCCTGATCAGCAGGTTGGAGGTGCTCCAGGCCCGAAGCTTAGCTGTGAGTGGGGACATGGGAGGGAGGTTGGAACTACCACTGCAGAAGGGGCTCTGAACCTAGGTTCAGGAGAGAGGCTTTGAACTTGCATGTGTGGGGAGCCATGGAAGTTTCCAGGAAGGACTGCAGGTCCCACCTGGAGATGTGCAGTTCCTCCTTCAGGTACCTGGGAATGTCAGTCACACCCCAGACCTGCTCAGCTCCTCCAAACTGCTGTTCCTGTATCTGAGAGCTTCAAGTCCCCAAATGGCCTATCTAATACATGGGGAAACTGAGGCCTGGGGAGGCCTGGGGACTGAGCTAGCATTCACTTGTGGAAATAGTCTGGCATCACCTGAAGAAGTTAGAGACATGCAAATCCTACGCCCTCAGATTCCCCTCTGAGAGTCTGCGTGCCTATGTGAACCAGGAGACATGTGCGGGAGTGAACACTGCAGTGTTACTCCAAACAGCAAGAACCAGAAACAGCCCAAAGGGCCGTTACAGGAGAATATGGACACCCAGGCTGCACATGCACACCATGGAATGCTGTATGGCAGTGGAAATAAATGAACAGCTACCCCTACAGGCAAACAGGAATCATAGCAACAGCTGGGAGTGACGGCGTGAAGCAGAGGGACAAGAATGTGCACTCATGCCCGGTCTGCCTGGCTTACAATCCTGGCTCTCTGCTTGCCAGCTAGAACTATCATGCAAATCATTTAACCACTCGGTGCCTCAGTTCCCTCATATGTAAAATGGACATGGTAACAGTGTGTATCCCACAGGCCATTATGAGGATTTAAATGATTTAAAGGATTGTGGGCTGGGCACAGTGGCTCAAGCCTGTAATCCCAGCACTTTGGGAGGCCGAGGTGGGTGGATCACCTGAGGTCAGGAGTTCAAGACCAGCCTGGCTAACATGGTGAAACCTCGTCTCTACTAAAAATACAAAAAAAAAAAAAAAAAAAAAAAAAAAATTAGCCAGGTGTGGTGGCAGGGGCCTGTAAACCCAGCTACTTGGAAGGCTGAGGCAGGATAATCACTTGAACCTGGGAGGCAGAGGATGCAGTGAGCTGAGATCGTGCCACTGTACTCCAGCCTGGGCAACAGAGTGAGGCTTGGTCTCAAAAATATAAATAAATAAACAAACAAATAAATAAAGGATTGTGAATGTAAAGGGGACAGAACAGTGCCTGACACACACATCAAGTGCTACATGAGTGTTAAGAGAAAGCCGGCTGGGTGTGGTGGCTCACGCCTGTAATCACAGCACTTTGGGAGACTGAGATGGACGGATCACCTGAGGTCAGGAGTTCGAGACCAGCCTAGCCAACATGGAGAAACCCTGTCTCTACTAAAAATACAAAAATTACCTGGGTGGCGGGCACCTGTAATCCCAGCTACTCGGGAGGCTGAGGCAGGAGAATCGCTTCAATCTGGGAGGTGGAGGTTGCAGTGAGCCAAGATTGTGCCACTGCACTCCAGCCTGGGTGACAGAGCGAGACTGTCTCAAAACAAACAAAAAAACAAAAAGAAAACCAGAAGCCGGGTGCAGTGATTCATGCCTGTAATCCCAGCACTTTGAGAGGCTAGGGCAGGAGGATCGCCTGAGGCCAAGGGTTCAAGACCAGCATAGGCAACATGGCGAGACTCTGTCTCTATTAAAAATTTAAAAATTAGCCAGGTGTGGTGGGATGCACCTGTAGTCCCAACTACTCAAGAGGCTGAGGGGCGAGGAATACTTGAGTTTGAGGCAGCAGTGACCTATGATTGCAGCACTGCACTCCAGCCTGGACAAAAGAACAAGAACCTGTCTCAAAAAAAACAAAAACAAAAACAAAAAAAAGATAAATCTAGAATGTCCAGTGGGGAAAAAGTAAGTTTCCAAAGATTACATAGTGTTATGGTTTGATGACTTGTACCTCTCAAACCCAGCACTTTGGGAGGCCAAGGTGGGTGGATCACCTGAGGTCAGAAGTTTGAGACCAGCCTGACCAACGTGGTGAAACTCCATCTCTACTAAAAATACAAAAATTAGCCGGGCATGGTGGCGGGCACCTATAATTCCAGCTACTCGGGAGGCTGAGGCAGGAGAATCGCGTGAACCTGGGAGGTGGAGGTTGCAGTGAGCTGAGATCGTACCATTACACTCTAGCCTAGGTGACAGAGCACTACTCTGCCTCAAAAAAAGAAAAAGAAAAAGAAATGTAATTGCCATTGTAACAGTATTAAGAGGTGAGATCTTTAAGAGGTCATCAAGCAAGCAAGAGAGAGAGAGAGAGAGAGAGAGTCTTTTTCTACCACGTGAGAACATAGTGAGGTAATCTGCAAGCCAGGAAAAGAGTCCTCATCAGAAATGACCCTGACAGACCTTGTTCTGGGAATTCTAGCCTGCAGAACTGTGAGAAAATAAATTTCTGTTGTTTAAGCCAAAAAAAAAAAGTGGTAATCAAGAGGCCTCATGAATGGATTACTGCTGTTATTATGGGAGTGGGGAGTGGGTTTCTCATAATAAAATGGGTTCAGCCCCCTCTCTGGCCCTCTCTTACTCTTTCCCCCTCCACTATGGAATGACACAGCAAGAAGACCCTGGCCAGATGCTGCACCTAGATCTTGGACTTCCCAGCCTCCAGAACTATAAGGAATAAATTTCTATTCTTTATAAATTACCCAGTGTCATGTATTTTGGTACAACAGCACAAAACAGACTAAGATGTATACTTTTTTTTTTTTTTTTTTTTTGAGACGGAGTCTCGCTCTGTCGCCCAGGCTGGAGTGCAGTGGCGCGATCTCGGCTCACTACAAGCTCCACCTCCCAGGTTCACGCCATTCTCCTGCCTCAGCCTCCCGAGTAGCTGGGACTATAGGCGCCCGCCACCACACCTGGCTAATTTTTTGTATTTTTAGTAGAGATGGGGTTTCACCGTGTTAGCCAGGATGGTCTCGATCTCCTGACCTCATGATCTGCCTGCCTTGGCCTCCCAAAGTGCTGGAATTACAGGCGTAAGCCACTGTGCCCAGCCTAAGATGTATACTTTTATACAGTTCAGAAACACCAAAGATGAAGCAAGATATTTAGGCTGCAGACTACTGACTTCTTGTATTCTCACATAGCTGAAAGAGGACGAGAGTCTCTGGGATGCCTTTTAAGGCACTGATCCCATCTATGAGGGCTCTGCCCTTGTGACCTAATTACCTCCCAAAGGCCTCACCCCTAATGCCATCACATGGGGCGGTTATGATTTATTTTTTTTTCTTTTGAGATGAAGTCTCGCCCTATTGCCCAGGCTGGAGTGCAATGGCGCAATCTCAGCTCACTGCAACCTTCCCCTCCCGGGTTCAAACGATTCTCCTGTCTCAGCCTCCCAAGTAGCTGAGATTACAGGTGCACGCCACCACGCCTGGCTAATTTTTGCCTTTTTAGTAGAGATGGGGTTTCACCATGTTGGCCAGGCTGGTCTCAAACTCCTGACCTCAGGTGATCTGCCCACCTTGGCCTCCCAAAGTGCTGGGATTATAGGCGTGAGCCAGTGCTCCTGGCCTCTACAAAAAATTTTTAAAAAATTAGCTGGGCGTGGTGGCACACACCTGTAGTCCCAGCTACTCAGTAGGCAGGAAGATTGCTTGAGCCCAGGAGATCAAGGCTGCAGTGAGCCATGATTGTGTCCCTGCACAATCAGCCTGGGAGACAGAGTGAGACCCTGTCTCCAAAAAAAAAAAAAAAAAAAAGGAAGCCTTGCTGGGCATCTAATGGGAAAATCTGTGTTCCCAACAATGGAAATCAGCTAGATTGACCAAAGCACCAGAGGAACAAATGTATTTAGAGTGGTTCTGTGTGCACATGGTGGGGGGTGTATGGCAAGTGGGGAGTTGTCAACTGGCAGTCTTTAGCAGTGGCTATATGGAGGCTTCTCATGATTTCCACTTCAGTCAGAACAAAAGCCATAGTAGTTCCAGTGGACTGACCTTACAGCACTACAGGATCTCCCTGACCTGACCTCCTACCACCTTCTCCCTCACTTACTCCCCTGCAGCCACACCAGCCTCCCGGCTGTTCCTCACACATGCTAGCAACAGTGCTACCACAGGGCCTTTGCACTTCATTTCCCCTGTCTAGACCGCTTTCCCCAGATAGCTGCATGACCATCCCTTACTTCCTTAATACCGTTGCTTAATGTCACCTTCTCTCTAAGGCTTTCTGTGGCCATCCTATTAATACTGCCCCTTTCCCCCATGGTTCTCAGCTTCTTATAACATCTTCCATCACTTACTTCTGCTTATTGCTCACTGTCTCAGCCCCAGTGGAGTGTCAGCCCCACAAGGGCAAGGATGTTTGTTTTGTTTGTAGCTCCATACTCGGTACCCAGGATGCTGCCTGGCATATAGTAGGGTCTTGATATTAAGTGATTTACTCCATACGGTTCCCCTAGCATGCAGGATGGTACCTGGCATTCAGTAGGAGCTCAAGAGATGTTTGTTGAATGAATTGGTGTGATAGGGGACTTGGTGAGGACCCGCCCCCACTTAGATAGCTTTAGAAGCTGTTGGATACTTCATCCCTCTGCGTGGTGCTGCAGACATGGAGATGAAGAGGTGGCCTCAGTGTGGGAGTAGAGGGGAGCATTCCCTTGACTGAGGAAGGAATGTTAGAAAAGAGAGCTGAGGCTGGGCATGGTGGCTCATGTCTGTAAACCCAGCACTTTGGGAGGCCGAGGTGGGCAGATCACGAGGTCAGGAGTTTGAGATCAGCCTGACCAACACTGTGAAACCCCGTCTCTACTAAAAATACAAAAATTAGCCGGGCATGGTGGCATGCGCCTGTAATCCCAGCTACTAAGGAGGCTGAGGCAGGAGAATCACTTGAAACTGGGAGGTGGAGGTTGCAGTGAGCCAAGATCACGCCACTGCATTCCAGCCTGGGCGACAGAGCAAGACTCCATCTCAAAAAAAAAAAAAAAAAAAAAAAAAAAAGAGCTGAGGCCAGGAGTGGTGGCTCATGCCTATAATCCCAGCACTTTGGAAGGCCAAGATGGGAAGATCACTTGAGCCCAGGAGTTCAAGACCAGCCTGAGCAATATAGTGAGACCTTGTCTCTCTTATATTTAAAATAAAAAATTATTTAAAAAAAATTTTTTAAAAGAAGAGCTGACCTGTCCATATCTGCCACTGAACACAGCCCAGACAGCAACCCACAGCACCTCAATAATTGACTCCTCTCTGAAAGGCAAAGAAACTGCTTCCTGAGTCTGCTGCTACAAATTCAAGGCTTGGCATCTGGACAATTTTTAACAGAAGCAGACCCCTGCCAGGGAAACTTCTGGGGGCTTGGCAGAAGAGGCAGATGCCTTTTAATCTACCTCTTGCTCAATCCCTGTGATGTGAAAAAAGCCAGTCTGGACAAATTGTACAGGTCACAGTCCCCAGCTTGTGAGGGGCCTGTAGAGAATTCTCGGGCTCACAGAAGCCGTTGCTGCAGTAACCACTGCCGCAAGAGCAACTTTGGCAGCAGGCAGGTGCCAGGCAGCAAGCTGAGAGAACACTGCACAGATTCAAAGTGTCTTCAGATACAAGGCTTTGTTTGTGCACAGTGAACAAAGGGCATATTGGGAAGGCCTCCTTATATTGTCCACACTTCCCTGAATGTAAGGAGCCCTGTCCTCAAAATGGGGATCAGCAGGGCTCCTTTCAAGGTAAAGCAGAAAAAGTCCCAGTGGCCTGTCAAGGGAGACCAGGCGCTTTGGCTGGAGCTAGGTGTTCTGGACAAAGGGCCATATTCAAGAACTTTGGGCCCCATTTTCAAGCGTAGGCTTAGGAGAAAGATGAATTCCAGGAAATCTGAAGCTGATGAGATATCTGCTTTAGCATTGTGGCACGGGGAGGAGATGGAGGGTGTCTGAAATGGCCAGGTTATGTTGTGTTACAGGCAGAGACAGAGCCCCAGTGCCATTCCCTGGGGAGCTTTAGCCCTTCTCAAAGGTGCTACCAAGGCTGGTTTATTATGATTGGAGAAAGGAGGAGGCCTCCTTGACAGAGTGAAGTGCATAAAGCATAGGAAATGGACTACTGGACATGAGAAGTTGGGAACATCCTCCCTACGATTAACAAAATACAAGCCAGAGACCAGGCACGGTGGCTCATTCCAGTGCCTATAATCCCAGCACTTTGGGAGGCTGAGACGGGAAGATCGCTTGAGCCCAGGAGATCAATGCTGCTGTGAGCTATGATTGCACCACTGCACTCCAGTCTGGGCAACAGAGGAAGACCCCAGGCTCAGCATATTCTCTGGGGTCCTGCTCTAAACTGAGAGTGAAAGCATACTCTGCTGCTAGTTGCTAGAGTTCTTGCTCAGAAAGTTGTTCAGAGATACAGTATTTCAGATTCCACAGCATCTAAAGATTTTTTTTTTTTTTTTTGAGACAGAGTCTAACTCTGTCCCCTGGGCTGGAGTGCAGTGGCGCAATCTGGGCTCACAGCAACCTCTGCCTCCTGGGTTCAAGCGATTCTCTTGCCTCAGCCTCCTGAGTAGCTAGGATTATAGGCGTGCACCACCATACCTCGGTAATTTTTTGTATTTTTATACTTTTAGTAGAGACAGGGTTTCACCTTGTTGGCCAGGCTGATCTTGAACTCCTGGGCTCAAGCGATCCATCCACCTCAGCCTCCTAAAGTGCTAGGATTACAGGCATGCACCACTGTGCCCAAGCTTATAGTATCTATATTCCAAGAGTGAGCTCACAATCAAATGAGTCCTTTAACTTGTCCTGTACCCTGAGCAGAAAAGCAAGGCTGAAAAGTGAAATGGTTCCCACCTCAGTCAACTCAGTTCCCACCTTAACTCGCAGCTCATCATACCACTTATGATTTCATCTTTCTATTAAGTACTTGAAATGGTTTTTATTATACCCTAAATTTTGGTAAATATTGGGTTTGTTTCTAGCTTCCCTACTGGTTCACCCATCCCTTTCCCTTGTCCTTGTCCCAGGACTGCACCAGAAGTAGAGGATGGAACAATGATCTTCCCACCTTCTGAAGGCAACTTTCTCATATGGTACAGAACTGGTACCAGCCTGGGGGATGGGAGGAGTCCCATGGGTCAGTCATCATCTGTGTCACTAGGGCCCATGTACTGGCAGATGGCATCGTAGTGAAGCTCCACCACCTGATTTTCTCTTGGCAGTTGCACCAAAGCCCGGCTCCGTGCTCTGTCCCGGCTCAGCAAATGTCCCACCTGGAACAGAGGTGAAGTGGAATCAGCAAGGCAAGCCTAGACCCTGGGACAGGCCCTGAACGACCCACAAACCTCTACTGCCAGGTCTGAGACTCACCCTTCCAGTCTGTGGGCCCAGCACCACCATCACACGGTCACCCTCTGCCTTGGGAACCAGGGTCTCCAGCATGTCTTCCCTCAGGCCTATGGATAAGGGAGAGGGGAGTGAGGCCCACAGCAAGGACCAGCCCAACCAGCGTCCTGTCAGAAGGGCCTTTCCTGGCCAGGCGTGGTGGCTCACACCTGTAGTCCCAGCACTTTGGGAGGCTAAGTTGGGAGGATCGCTTGAGCCCAGGAGTTCGAGACCAACCTGGGCAAGATGGTCAGACCTCATCTCTACAGATTTTTTTGTTTTGTTTTTTGAGACTGAGTTTGGCTCTTGTTGCCCAGGCTGGAGTGCAATGGTGTGGTCTTGGCTCACTGCAACCTCCGCCTCCTGGGTTCAAACGATTCTCCTGCCTCAGCCTCCTGAGTAGCTGGGATTACAGGCACCCACTACTGCGTTTGGCTAATTTTGTATTTTTAGTAGAGATGGGGTTTTGACATGTTGGTCAGGCTGGTCTCAAACTCCTGACCTCAGGTGATCCACCCTCCTCGGTCTCCCAAAGTGCTGGGATTACAGGCATGAGCCACCGCGCCCAGCCTACAAAAAATTTTAAAATTAGCCAGGCATGGTGGTCAGTGCCTGCAGTCCCAGCTACTCAGGAGGCTGAGGTGAGAGGATGGCTTGAAACCAGGAATTTGAGGTGGCAGTGATCCATGATGGTGCCACTGCACTCCAGCATAGGTGATAAAATGAGACCCAATCTCAAAAAAAAAAAAAGAAAAAAAAAAAAAAGAAGGGCCTTTCAGCTGGGTGTGGTGGCTCATGCCTGTAATCCCAGCACTTTGGGAGGCTGAGGCAGGAGGATCACGAGGTAAGGGGTTCAAGACCAGCTTGGCCAATATGGTGAAAACCTGTCTCTATTAAAAATACCAAAATTAGCTGGGTGTGGTAGCGGGCACCTGTAGTTCCAGCTACTCAGGAGGCTGAGGCAGAAGAATAGCTTGAACCCGGGAGGCGGAGGTTGCAGTGAGCCAAGATTGCGTCACTGCACTCCAGCCTGGGTGACAGAGTGACTCTGTTTCAAAAAAAAAAAAAAAAAAAAAAAAAAAAAAAAGAAGGGCCTTTCCTGTATTCCCTGGAGCCACTCTACACCCTGTTGACAGATGGGAGTCCCGCCACATCCATTTCACAGATGAGGTAGCCTAAGGAGTAGTTTACAAAAATCACTGTAATAAAGGGTGGTGGTGATAACAACAGGCACCTTTTATTGTGGGCATGTTTTAACCCCTGCCCTGCACTGAGAGCTCAATACACATTCCTTCACTAAGGCACCAATCACAAGAGGAAGAAATAGTAAATTCCATGCTAATTTGACAGACCGGAGGCCGAGCGCGGTGGCTCACGCTTGTAATCCCAGCACTTTGGGAGGCCGAGGTGGGAGGATCACTTAAGGTCAGGAGTTCCAAGACCAGCATGGTCAACATGGTGAAACCCTGTCTCTACTAAAAACACAAAAATTAGCCAGGTGTGGTGACGCTTGCCTGTAATCCCAGCTACTCGGGAGGCTGAGGCAGGAAAATCGCTTGAACCTGGGAAGTGGAGGTTGCAGTGAGCTGAGATCACGCCACTGCACTCCAGCCTGGGTGACAGAGTGAGACTCTGTCTCAAAAAAAAAAAAAAAGAAAAAAAAGAAAACTTGACAGACTGGGAGAGTGGGGCTCAAGATAACCAACCACCATCATGGAAGTGTCTAATGTTCTGTAAGAGGATGCTAGGCCTTGCAAAATACCTGAACTCTGCCAAACCTCCCAGCTTTGCCTGGGCCAGGCTCTGGGCCTAAAACACTCTTCTTGATCAACCTCCAGCTGCCATCGCTCAAACTCACCTTCCAGGACTCGGCCTTCATCTGTCCGACATACACAGGTATCTGGGCTTAGGACATCTTCAATTATCATCTGGGGATACAGGTCAGGGGGATGTGAGATTTTAGAGAGGTAGGGGGGCCCAGTCCCTAGGAGAGGGAGGGGGACTCAGGCTGCAGGGTTCCCACCTTGGTGTTGTAATATTGGCCTCCTTTGTACATGTTGTCCACAAACCGCACACGCAGGTCCCTGTGCAACCAGTGCTGACTTCTGGGGGCTGCTTTCTCACTCTTGGCTGCAGGCCCATCCTGTCTGTGGAGAAGGTGCCAGCACCAGGCTTAGCTCTTCATCAGATGCACTTTCCAGTTGCCCTCCCTTTGCCTATGCTATGAAACCCACCCACAATGCAGTTCCCCGTTCCTTCTATGAGCCCGCCTTGCCTTGGAAGCCTTCCCTGGCTGCTCGAGCCTACCCACAGCCCTGCCTTCTTGACCCCTCCCGCATGCTCAGAGTCCCACCGGTCTGGAAGGTGTTTCCGCTTCCTCTCTGAGTTGTCCTGCTGGATGTAGAGTTCTTGATTCCAGAGGGTCTTCCGTGATGAGGCAGTTCCGTTCTGTTGCCCTGGGGAAGGAAGTTTTGCTCATCTGGCCTGTTCAAGAGGTTATGAGGAGAACCAGGACAGAGCCTCAGTGTCTCACTGCCCTTTCCTTCCAAGGCCATGTCTCAGCCTAGAGCCACCTCCCACCTGCCAAAGTGCCCCTCTCACCCCTCATGCATTTGCTAGTAGAATGCCTCTCCCCCACCTCTCAACCATTTCAGCTTCCTTCAGGAACCCTCCCGCAGCCAACCTAGCCCACAACAACAATGCTCACCTAGTGTGGACTAGAGATTCCCAGAGAGCTCTGTCTGTACCCATTTGCCAAACTGCCCCGTCCTACCGAAACGCCTTCGCCTGTGCTGTTCTGTCTGCCTAGAATTCCTTCCTTCTTGGTCACACCCTAATCCTAGCAGTTCTCACTCCCTAGTAAAAGAGAGGTTCATCACCCCAAATGGACAAAGATCTCGAAGGTAGGAATTGGTTTCTGCACCTGTTTCTTCTCACTCAGACAGGCTACAGACCCAGGGGTATGACATCGACCTTTCTCCAATCAAATGGAGTAAGTCACTTATGTCCATTCTCACCTCCTGACCTCTGATTGGAAGTCATATCTGCCAGGCACACTGCTGCCCCTCCCTGCTGCAGATCTAAAACCACCCCATTAGCCAGGCCCTGCCACCCCTAGGAATGCGTTGCCAACTCCCCTAGCTCTACAAGAGGCTCACTCACTGAGATCCAAGGTGTTCTTGTCAAACTCCTGCTGGGAGACAGGCCGCAGGTAGTACTCACTAACAGTCACCACCCGGCTCCCCACAGCCAGACGAACCATGGCCCGAACATTGTCAGGATCAAGGCCTTCCACCTAAAGTGTTGAGGGGAAGAAGTCAGGTAGGGGTTGTGGACTCCACCCACATTCCTAGGACCAAGATGTCAACCCCTTACCTCTAAGAGGCCTGCTTCCTCTGTCTCCCCAACCAGACTCTGACCCCTGAGAAGTGGGACCAGGTCTGGTTCCTGTGTCTCCCTCAGCTGACTGTGGGGCTTCCTTGGATCCTTTAAGCATTTAATCTTCAGGGACTTGTGGCATATGGCATTCTCTTCCTTTTAGCTGGGAACTGAGGCTCACAAAGGCCAGCAAGTGGTCCTGGGTTACTGAGTGAGGCAGTGGGCCAAGCAGACCTAAAAGACTAGGAGTCCCAGCCTTTCTACCTCAAATCCAATTATTCCTCCATCTGACCCTCGGATCAACCTTCCCTGCTGCCTGTTTTGGGCTCCCGGGATATCTTGGTTCCTTACCTTCCCATAGAGGCCTCGGTGAGGGCCAGAAAGAACCACCACAGCTCCTCCAGGCACCAGCCCTTGAGGCTGATCTTCCTTATCTTTCTCTTGCTCCTCATCTGGTCTTGGCATGCGGGAGGGGCCAGTGGGGGTCAAGGCCTGGGCCTCGGTCAGGTTGGCACCCAGCCCTAACCCCTTGGGCCTCAGTGAGTTGACACGGGGCTTCACTACTCTGCAGGGAGGAATATGGGTTTGTTGGAGAGGATGCAACAGTCTTCAACACCTTATTTACTTCCTCTTCCTGCCCAAACCCGCCCCACCCGCCCCATTGACATTTTCTTTTCTTTTCTTTTTTTTTGGAGATGGAGTTTTGCTCTTGTCATCCAGGCTGGAGTACAATGGCTCGATCTCGACTCAATGCAACCTCCACCTCCCAGGTTCAAGGGATTCTCCTGCCTCAGCCTCCCGAGTTGCTGGGGTTACAGGCGCATGCCACCATGCCCGGCTAATTTTTGTATTTTTAGTAGAGACAGGGTTTCACCATGTTGGTCAGGCCGGTCTTGAACTCCTGACCTCAGGTGATCCGTCCTCTTTGGCCTCCCAAAGTGCTGAGATTACAGGTGTGAGCCACCGTGTCCAGCCCCCACCAATATTTTCAAGGTTGCCCTTTCTGATCTCATATTAGGACTGTTTTTGACCTACAGAAACAGCAATTTCATTTGGTTCAACCTAATAACATGCTGCATATACCATCTATTACATAATATCTACAGTGAGATCAGAGGCAGATCGCTGTAACCAAATATACTATTTCTACAGGGGAAATCATATGAACATTCACACCGAGCAGGAGAAACCGGATTATAAATACTCAACATGGTTGGGCATGGTGGCTCATGCCTGTAATCCCAGCACTTTGGGAGACCGAGGTTGGTAGATCACCTAAGGTCAGGAGTTCAAGACCAGCCTGGTCAACATGGGGAAACCCCATCTCTACTAAAAATACAAAAATTAACCAGGCATGCTGGTGCATGCCTGTAATCCCAGCTACTCAGGAGGCTGAGGCAGGACAATCACTTGAACTCAGGAGGTAGAGGTCGCAGCGAGCCGAGATTGCGCCACTGCATCCCAGCCTGGGTGACAGACAGAGACTCCATCTCAAAAAAAAAAAAAAAAAAAAAAAAAAAACGCCAATTCAGGTCATATTTGGCTGCCAATGGGTTATGAAAAAATGTTTGGTTTTCAGAATTATTGAGTTTGCAATTGTGAAGAAAGGGTTGCAAGTCTGCATGACAATAGCAAATGTTTAGTCTACGCTTTCTTGGGGTCAGGGCCTACTGTATGTGCTTTATGTATATAATTTCTTTTCCTTTTCCTTTTTTTTTTTTTTTTTGAGACGGAGTCTCACTGTCACCCAGGCTGGAATGCAGTGGTGCAATTTCGGCTCACTGCAAGCTCCGCCTCCCAGGTTCACGCCATTCTCCTGCCTCAGCCTCCTGAGTAGCTGGGACTACAGGCACCCGCCACCATGCCCGGCTAATTTTTTGTATTTTTTTTTTTAGTAGAGATGGGCTTTCACCGTGTTAGCCAGGATGGTCTCGATCTCCTGACCTCGTGATCCACCCACCTCAGCCTCCCAAAGTGCTGGGATTATATGTGTGAGCCACCACACCCGGCCCTAATTTCTTTTCTTAAAATTAATTAATCTTTTGTAGAGATGGGGCCTCCCTATGTTGCCCAGGCCAGTCTCAAACTCCTGGAGTTAAGTGATCCTCCTGCCTCAGTCTCCGAAAGTGCTGGGATTACAGGCATGAGCCACTACCTGGCCTATGTGTATAATTTCATTTAACTCTCACAACAGACCTATGAAGTCAGTACTATTACCCCCATTTTTCAGATGAGGAAATTGATGTCCCTAGAGGCAAACTTTATATAAATGGGATTCTATTAGAGTTTCAAAGGGCAAATGGGAGTTTAAAACAGTAGTGGAAGGGGCTGCTGAATTAGTTAGGGCGATAATGTATCCTCCCTCCCTGCCTAGGTGGTTCTGGTTTGGCAGTGACCCTGGGGATCTTGATTGCAGCCTGATGATCTGTCTGTCCCCTCGACCCTATCCCAGAACTCACTGATTGAAGGTGCGGCCGATGCCCTCGCCAGGTTTCCAGCCCATGCCCCGCAGCATGGCCAGCCCATAGGCCTCCACGGGGACCGCCTCATAATTAGCCTCCTCTGGCACCTACAGGTTCAGGTAGAGGAAGGAGGGTCAGGCTTTGCTTACACTGGGTCTTCTATTTGAAGTGCACTTGCTGCCCCCCACTGGGAGACCTGCTACGCGTCTTTTCCAATCAGCTCAAGGGTGAGTTTTGATTTCCTCTTTCCATCCCTCACTGTACTCCTCCATGTTCAGTCCTTCAACAAATATAAAGCACCTTGTCTATGGCAAGTACTGTTCTAGGTACTGGGGATGAAGCTGTGAACCAAACAGACAAAAACCCCTACCCCTGCAGAGCTTCTGATCTAGTTGTGGAGACATACTATAAATAAAACCCAGAAAACATGATATGTCAGGTGGTGATGTAAAGAACAAGAAAACAGGGTAAGAAGATGCAGAGGGATGGAGAGGGAGTGCCACTGGGTTGACATTTAAGCAGAGATCAGGAGATGACAGCAGAGGGAGCCATGAGGATATGAGAAGAAAGTGTCCCAAGCTGAAAGCATAGTAACAGCAAAGGCCCTGAGGCCGGACAAGGCTTGGTATGTGTGAGGGGTATCATGAAAGTCACCATGACTGAAATGGAGAGAGTGAGAGTAGACAGCAGAGAAGGGTGGGGAAGAGACCAAATCAGGAGAGCTGGGCAGGAGTCAGAGGACCTTGAGCCAGGTGGGAGCCACAAGAGGGACCAGTGAGGAAATTACTCTAATAGTCCAGATGAGAGATGCTGGTGGCTCAGCCCTTTGCAGTGGTATTGGTGGTGGTGAGAAGTGGTCAGTTCTGGGTGTCATTTTGAAAAAAGATGATAGGATTGTGCTGGCATATTGTATGGGGCACGAAATAAAGAGAGGAATTGAGGATGACTCCAAGGTTTTCTTTTTTTTTTTTCTTGAGATGAAGTCTTGCTGTGTTGCCCAGGCTGGAGTGCAGTTGCATGATCTCAGCTCACTGCAACCTCAGTCTCCTGGGTTCAAGCGATTCTCCTGCCTCAGCCTCCCGAGTAGCTGTGATTACAGGCACGTGCCACCATGCCCAGCTAATTTTTGTATTTTTACTAGTGATGGGGTTTCGCCATGTTGGCCAGGCTGGTCTTGAACTCCTGACCTCAGGTGATCCGCTGGCCTCAGCCTCTCAAAGTGTTGGGATTACAGGCGTGAGCCACCGCCCCTGGCTGACTCCAAGGTTTTTATGCTGAGTGAGAGGAAGGATGGATGGAATTTTTGGTCACCTGATATGTAGAAAGCTGCAGGAGGAGGTTTATAGAGGGAAAAATTAGAAGAATGAGGCCAAAGCTGGAACAGGATGAAAGGATGAAGAGGGAAGTGAGGATCTTTTTTTTCTTTAAAGATGAAGGAGCTGGGCACAGTGGCTCACGCCGGTAATCCCAGCACTTTGGGAGGCTGAGGTGGGTAGATCACTTGAGGTCAGGAGTTCAAGGCCAGCCTGACCAACGTGGCGAAACCTCGTCTCTACTAAAAATACAAAAATTAGCCAGGCGGTAGTGACACGTGTCTGTAATCCCAGCTACTTGGGAGGCTGAGGCAGGAGAATCGCTTGATCCCAGGACCGGGAGGTTGCAGTGAGCCGAGATCACACCACTTCACTCCAGCCTGGGCGACAGGGCAAGACTCTATCTCAAAAAACAAAAAACAAACAAACAAAAAAATGTTGAAGGAAACCAGGGCACATCTGAAGGCTGAAGAGAACAGTTCAGTTGAAAGAGAGAGTGGTGTGGGGCTGTAGAAGAACTAGACTCAAAAGAAGCAGTGCAAGAAATTTATGAAAGAAGAGGTGAAAAGTCAGGTCTGTGGGTATGAAAGACAGACTTGGTTACTTCTGTAGACATGCCTCTCACGTCCCCTCTTGTCACCTCCCATCATCACTCCTTCCCATTCACTCCAGATACACCACATGTTGCCTCACTGATGGACACACCATATCGATTTTCTACCACTATGCCATTGCTTGGGCTGTTACTACTAACAGGAGTACTCACTCTGTTCTTCCCTCTCTCACTAAACCCTACTTATCCTTCCAGACCACTCTGGTCTAAGTCCCCAGCATCTCTAGCCTGGACTACTCATCCCCTTGCTTCCACCTTCACTAATGAGTCTGTTCACAGCTTCCAGAGGGATACTGTCAAATCATAAATCATATTTCATCTATGCTCAGGGCTTGTCCAGGCTCTCATCTCACTCAGAGTAAAAGCCAAAGTCCTCACAATGGCCTACAAGGCCCTGCCTGGTCTAGCACCCCCATCTCCTTTCTGACTTCGTCTACTACCCCTTCCCCTTACTCATTCCACTTCAGTCACACTGGTCTCCTTGGTGTTCCGCAAACACTTTAGGCAGTGTCTACCTTCAGGGCCTTTACATTTCCTGTTCCCTTTGCTGCACACCTCATTCAGATAATCCTAGGATTCAAGTACGTTTTTAGCATCCAGATACCCAGATTCATTTGGTAATGCTTCCAAAATGATGACAGGAGAAGGGGCAGGTGGCGGGCCTCTAGCACACACACAGACTTTCCCTGCTACGTGCAGGGACACAGCCTGGCGGACAGGGCAAAGAAAGGCTGGGGCAGGAGGGGGACAAGGGGCCAGCTCACTGTCTCTGCCCGGGGTTCGCTGTCTGCCCCTTCCCCGCTGGGGGTGCATCCTTTCTGGATCATGGGGATAGCGAGCGTGGGGTCGACACCCGCATTCTCTCTCTCTTCCAGAGACTTCTTGGATTCTAAAGGAAGAATAGGAGGGAGCAATGAAGTCCCACTCTATCCTTCCACCTTCTTCCTCTTCTTCCTTCAATGGGGAAGGGTAAAGGGGTATCACTCACCCGCAATGAGCTCCTTCACAGCCTGGGACACCACCCCATCCGCCAAGGCCCCAGTATCTGTGGATGGCCCAGGGGGCCGGGCTGGTGGCTGCCTGCGATGGCCATTCTGGATCAAAGGGATGACGAGTTCCTTGGGGGCCTCCTGGGGCTTCACACTGATGTGGACACAGAGGGGTGGGGTTGGGAGAATGGCAGGGTCAGTGGGTCACACTCCTTCATTCAGAGAAAACACAAGAGCCAAACTCACCCCAGCCCCACAGACCATGTCTTCCCTACTCCATGTCTGGATCTCCTGTTCCTCTCTGATCGTGCATTCTCTGGATTATCTCCCCAGTGCCCCCAACTCATAAATGTCAGTGCCTTCGAGAAATAAGTCCTGCACTCTCTGTTTAACTCAATACCGGCTTCTACAATGGCCCACAAATCACTATCTTCAGCCCAGACCTTCCCCAGCTCCAGGTTCCCAAACAGCTTCCTAGATGCCTGATTCTCTTCTGGAAATCCCTCCCTCAGACCCCTCAGACACTCCTCTCCTCATTAAGCTGATGGTGGCCTCCATCAACCTGAATCTGCCGCTCCATCCCGTTCCCCATATCGGGGACGCCTCAGCCCTTCAGTTGAGACACTAGCAGGTCCTGTCATTTTCTCATTCTTTCCTTCTCCCAGAACGCACAGACCTTAGTGTCTTCAAGTCCTAAAGACACTTCTTCTCAGTAATACATCCTCTCTTCGCAATTCCCACAGCTATCAGGCCCAATTTCCTCACCCCCTCCTATAAACTCCCGCCTTCTGGCCTCCACGAATTTACTCAGGCTGTGCTTCAGGCTTAACAGGTCACTGTCACCAAGACAAACAACTGAGATTCCTCCCTCCCGCTTACGCCCACCGCAGAGATTTCCAAGGGGTGAAAGACCCGGCGCGTCACCTCTGCAGCTCCCTCCCTTCCACGGTTTTCAAGAAATCCTTCTCCTCCGGAGATGGCCCCGCGCCGTCTCCCGAGTCGGCCAGCCGCCTCCGTGCGGACGTGCGAGTGAAGCCGAATGAAATTGGGGCAGTGGAAGCAGCCGTCAGCGGCAAAACACCCTCTTTGGAGTCAGCCATCTTGCTCCTTTTCCCAGGCCGGCGCGCTGCTTGCTGGGAAATTTAGTTTGGGTTCAGATCGCTAGGGGCCGGCCAAAGTGCGTAAAAACTACCTTCCCATCAACCACTGTGGCACCGGCGGGAGGGGGCGGTAAGGGGCCGTGGGAAGTAATTGTCGCTCTTTCAAACGTGGTGGGAGCGCGTCGCGCCAAGCGCCCAGGGAAATGTAGTTTTTTTTTTGTTTGTTTTGTTTTGTTTTTTAAGATGGAGTCTCGCTCTGTTTCACAGGCTGGAGTGCAGTGGCGTGATCTCGGCTCACTGCAACCTCCGCCTCCCAGGTTCAAGCGATTCTCCTGCCTCAGCCTCCCGAGTAGCTGAGACTAAAGGCATGCGCCACCACGCCTGGCTAATTTTTGTATTTTTAGTAGAGACGGGGTTTCACCGTGTTAGCCAGGATGGTCTCGATTTCCTGACCTCGTGATTCTCCTGCCTCGGCCTCCCACAGTGCTGGGATTACAGGTGTGAGCCACCACGCCTGGCTGGAAATGTAGTTTTTAGCGGGGTAGGCATGGTGGAAGGTGGATTCATTCTTGCCAGACATTAATCTTCCTTCGTGTAGGCGTTTGACAAGTATTTATGGAGCGCCTAATGTGTGCCCTACTTATGTGGGAAGTGTTGATGAAGTAAATCATTTAGAAATAATCAGCTGGGTGTGGTGGCGCGCACCTGTAGTTCCATTTACTCCGCAGGCTGAGGCAGGAGGATGGCCTGAGGCCTGGGAATTCGAGGCTGCACTTAGCTCTTATCGCACCACTGCATTCCAGCCTGGGTGACAGAGCGAGACCCCATCTCTAAAAAAGAAAAAGGTCGGGGGTGGGGGGGATGGAGCGTCAGTTGTGTACAATAATAAATAATAGACATAAAATAAATAATAGACATAAAAAACCCCGTCTCTACTGAAAATACAAAAATTAGAGGGGTGTGGTGGCTCATGCCTGTAATCCCAGCATTTTGGGAGGCCGAGGCTGGTGGATCACCTGAGGTCAGGACTTTGAGACCAGCCTGACTCATATGGTGAAACCCTGTCTCTACTAAAAATACAAAAATTAGCCGGGCGTGGTGGTGGCGCCTGTATCCCCAGCTACTTGGGAGGCTGAGACAGGAGGATTGCTTGAATCCGGGAGACAGAGTTTGCAGTGAGCCGAGATCCTGCCACTGCACTCCAGCCTGGGCGACAGAGCGAGACTCCGTCTTAAAAAAGAAAAAAGAAAGAAAGAAAGAAATAGTGCCTATTGGCCAGGCTCATACCCGTAATCCCAGCACTTTAGGAGGCCGAGGCGGGCGGATCACTTGAGGCCAGTAGTTCGAGACCAGCCTGGCCAACATGGTGAAACCCCGTCTCTACTGAAAATACAAAAATTAGCGGGGTGTGGTGGCGCATGCCTGTAATCCCAGCTACTCGGGAGGTTGAGGCAGGAGAATCGCTTGAACCCGGGAGGCGGAGGTTACAGTGAGCCGAGATCTCAACACTCCGGCCTGGGCTATAGAGTGACACTCAGTCTCAAAAACAAAAGAAAAACAAAAGAAAAACAAAAAAAAAAAAAAAAAAAAAAGAAAAAGAATAGTGCCTACTGATGTCAGATTTTAATACTCAACAAGGCACTAGATTCAAATATCAATAAAATAGGCTGGGCACAGTGGCTCATGCCTGTAATCCCAGCACTTTGGGAGACCTAGGCGGGCGGACCACCTGAGGTCAAGAGTTTGAGACCAGCCTGGCCAACATGGCAAAACCCAATCTCCACTAAAAATACAAAAATTAGCCGGGTGTGGTGGCACATGCTTGTAATCCCAGCTACTCGGGAGGTGGAGGCAGGAGAATCGCTTGAACCTAGTAGGTGGAAGTTGCAGTGAGCCAAGATTGCCCCACTGCACTCCAGCCTGGGCAACAGAGCGAGACTCTGTCTCAAAAAAAAAAAAAAAGAAAAAGAAAAGAAAAAGAAAAAAAAGAAACTTGTAGTCTAGTAGGGAATACAGACATTTAAATACATATTTTAAAAATATAGCAACATGTGCCGAGCTTAGTGGCTCACGCCTATAATCCCAGCACTTTGGGAGGCCTAGGCAGGAGGATTGTTTGAGCTCAGGACTTTGAGACCACCCTGGGCAACCTAGTGACACCCTGACTCTACAAAAAAATTTAAAAATTAATGGGGTGTGGTGGCGCACATCTGTGGACCCAGCTACTCAGAGGGCTGAGGGGGGAGGATCACTTCAGCCCAGGAGGTTGAGGATGCACTGAGCGGTGATCAGGCCACAGCACTACAGCCTGGGCAACACACACACATATACATATAGCAACATTAAACATATTGTGAGAACCAGGTCCTAAGGCTTCAAAGATTACTGATATGAAGGAAAAATGAAGCAGTCAGAAAATTAAAAAAAAAAAAGATTATTGAGACAGATCTCTCTTGTGTAGGACCTCAAGAGTTCATACAGGCAGGGTGCGGTGGTTCATGCCTGTAATCCCAGCACTCTGAGAAGCCGAGGCAGGTGGATCACTTGAGGCCAGGAGTTCAAGACCAACCTGGCAAACATGGCAAAACTCTGTCTCTACTAAACATACAAAAATTGGCCGGGCATGGTGGCAGGCGCCTGTGGTTCCAGCTACTCAGGAGGCTGAGGCATGAGAATCGCTTGAACCCGGGAGGTGGAGGTTGCAGTGAGCCGAGATCACGTCATTGCACTCCAGCTTGGGCGACAGAGTGAAACTCTGCCTTAGAAAATGAAAAAAAATTTAAAATGAAAAAAAAAAAGAGTTTATACAGAGTGGCTTATACAGAGTTGCTGGGTGTGGTGGCTCACACCTGTACTTTCAGCACTATGGGAGGCTGAGGCAGGAGGATTACTTGAGGCCAGGAGTTGGTGGATACAGTGAGCTATGATCGTGGCACTGCACTATAGCTTGTGTGACAGAGCAAGATCCTGCCTCTAAAAAAGTAAATAAGTAAAATAAAAATAAAATAGTTTGTACAGTAGATGACAGATACTTAAATATTCTTAAGAAAGAGTAATATAATTCTGCTACAAATTAGGCTCAAGGATATCATTGAAGATGTGTAAAATAATTTTTTATGAGATTCATTATCATATTATTGTGGCAAAAGCTTGAAGACCACTTAAATTATCAACAGAAGGGGATGCAGTAAATGAATTACAGCACACACCTTGGATGAAAGAAATACGCCTTTACATTGGAAGTTGTAAATAAATATATATATATAAAATATATATATATATACATATATATTTTTTTTGAGACAGGGTCTCACTCTGTTGCCCAGGCTGGAGTGTAGTGGTGTGATTTCGGCTCACTGCAACCTCCACCTCCCAGGTTCAAGCGATTCTCGTGCCTCAGCCTCCTGAGTAGCTGGGATTAGAGGTGCCTGACACAACGCTGGGCTAATTTTTCTATTTTCAGTAGAGGTGGGATTTTGCCATGTTGGCCAGGTTAGTCTCAAACTCCTCACCTCAGGTAATCCGACTGCCTTGGCCTCCCAAAGTGCTGAGATTACAGGCGTGAGTCACTGCATGACCAGCTGCTATAAATATAATTAAATGGACTGGGCACGGTGGCTCATGCCTATAATCCCAGCGCTTTGGGAGGCTGAGGCAGGCAGATCCTCTGAGGTCGGGAGTTCGAGACCAGCCTGGCCAACATGGTGAAACCCCATCTGTACTAAAAATAAAAAATTAGCCATGTGTGGTAGTGGTTACCGATAATCCCAGTTACTCGGGAGGCTGAGGCAGGAGCATCGCTTGAACCCAGGAGGCAGGGGTTGTGGTGAGCTGAGATTGTGCCACTGGACTCCAGCCTGGGTGACAGAGCTAAACTCCCTCTCAAATAAATAAATAAATAAATAAATAAAAGAAAAGAAAAGAAAAAAATATAAAATTGAATGAAATGGGGACATACCATATTTTGGAAGGTAAATTAGTATGGTGGTTTGGAGAATGGTCTTAAAAAGAGGCAACCCGTTATTCAATCTCATGGCCATGTTTCCAGGTATAGAAGCTCTGGGCATTCTGGCATGGGCCCTGGAATCTCAAGGGTAAAACCACTTTGCTTTTCAAGGTACAACAAAATTCATTAAAATGTATTTAAAGGTGAGGCACGGTGGCTCATGCCTGTAATCTCAGCACTTTGGGAGGCCAAGTCAGGAGGATCGCTTGAGCCCAGGAGTTGGAGGCTGCAGTGAGCTCCGATTGCACCACTGCACTCCAGCCTGGGCAGCAAAGGCAGAGGTTGTGGTGAGCCGAGGTCGCGCCACTGTACTCCAGCCTGGGCGACAGAGCAAGACTTCATGTCAGAAAAAAAAAGACTTTAGACTTCTGCTTTTTTTTTTTTTTTTTTTGAGACGGAGTCTCGTTCTGTCACCCAGACTGGAGTGCAGTGGCACAACCTCCGTTCACCGCAACCTCCACCTCCCCCAGGTTCAAGCAATTCTCCTGCCTCAGCCCCCCCGAATAGCTGGGACTACAGGCGCATGCCACCAGGCCTGGCTAATTTTTTGTATATTTAGTAGAGACAGGGTTTCACCGTGTTAGCCAGGGTGGTCTCGATCTCCTGACCTCGTGATGCGCCTGCCTTGGCCTCCCAAAGTGCTGGGATTACAGGCGTGAGCCACTGCACCCGGCCTGGTTTTCTTTTTGTTTTTGTTTTTTGTTTTTGATTTTTGAAATGGAGTCTCACTCTGTCACCCAGGCTGGAGTGCAGTGGCGCGACCTCGGCTCACTGCAACTTCTGCCTCCTGGGTTCAAGAATTTCTCCTGCCTTGGCTGGGCATGGTGGCTCACACCTGTAATCCCACCACTTTGGGAGGCCGAGGCAGGCGGATCACGAGGTCAGGAGATCAAGACCATCCTGGCTAACATGGTGAAACTCCATCTCTACTAAAAATACAAAAAATTAGCCGGGCGTGGTGGCGAGCGCCTGTAGTCCCAGCTACTCAGGAGGCTGAGGCATGAGAATGGTGTGAACCCGGGAGGTGGAGGTTGCAGTGAGCGGAGACTGCGCCACTGCACTCCAGCCTGGGCGACAGAGTGAGACCCCGTCTCATTAAAAAAAAAAAAAAAAAGAATTTCTCCTGCCTTAGCTTCCCGAGTAGCTGAGATTACAGGCACCCGCAAACGCCCGGCTAATTTTTGTATTTTTAGTAGAGGCAGGGTTTCACCATATTGGCCAGAGTGGTCTCGAACTCCTGACCTCGTGATCCACCCGCCTCGGCCTCCCCAAGTGCTGGGATTACAGGTGTGAGCCACCGTGCCCGGCCTTTTTTTTGTTTTTTGAGATGGAGTCTCATTCTGTGGCCCAGGCTGGAGTGCAGCAGCGCCATCACGGCTCACCGCAACCTTCACCTCCTGGGTTCAAGCAATTCTCCTACTTCAGCCTCCCAAGTAGCTGGGATTACAAGTGCGTGCCACCACGCCCAGCTAATTTTTGTATTTTTAGTAGACGGGGTTTCACCATGTTGATCAGGCTGGTCTTGAACTCCTGACCTCAGGTAATCCACCCACTTTGGCCTCCCAAAGTGCTGGGATTACAGGTATGAGCCACCACGCCTGGTCCAAAAAATACTTCTGAAAAATATAGTTCACTTATTTTCTGGAACACCCCTCAATATAGATTTGTCTTGTGATTTCTCATTTATTAGACTGAGATTATGAGTTTTGGGCAAGAATGTCATGGAGATGATGTGCCCTTCTAATCACATCATATCAAGGAGTTCATGATGTTGATAAGTCCTATTGTTAATTACATGAACATGAATCAGTTGGTTAAGGTGTTGTCTACCAGGTTTCTCCACTGGTTCCATTGCCTGCAATGCAAACTGTCCGTGGAGGAAGTGATACCCACTTCCTAAAGCAGCCGCCTGAGGCAATGTGCGCAATGCAGCCTTATACACGCTGGCACAAGAGGTCCCTGAAGGAGTTTTGTTTTTTGTTTTTAAGCAAGAGTTCCTAGGAAAACCTGAGAGTTTTACCTTCTCAGCTGGTTCACACTTTGTCTCTGACTTGCTCCTGAGATGTATCATGGAGATCACCCCAGCCTAACCTGATCCTGATGCATTTTTTTTTTTGAGACAATCTTGCTCTGTCACCTAGGCTGGAGTGCAGTGGCGTGATCTTGGCTCACCGCAACCTCCATCTTCCGGGTTCAATCGATTCTCCTGCCTCAGCCTCCCGAGTAGCTGGGACTACAGCCATGCGCCACCTCGTTCTGCTAATTTTTGTATTTTTAGTAGAGATGGGGTTTCACCATGTTGGCCAGGCTGGTCTCGAACTCCTGAGCTCAAGTGATCCACCCGCCTTGGCCTCCCAAAGTGCTGGGATTATAGGCGTGAGCCACCACAGCAGAACTTGATGCAAAATTTTTGGTGGTGAAAATATAATGGTGACTCATGCCTGTATCCTCAGCTACCCTGGAGGCAAAGGTGGGAGTGTTGCTTGTACCCAGGAGTTTGAGACCAGGCTGGGCAACATAGTGAGATCCTGTCTGTAACAAAAGAATAAAAAAGAGGGAGGAAGAAAAATATATAATAAGAGAAAAGACCTTTGTTTCTGTCTTTACTTCATACTGAAAAAATCAGGAGTAACATTTAGAAAAGTATTTGCTTACCATATAATTAAGGAAAACCATATCCAAGTTTTACAAAACCAGCCATTTATTCTTTTGCTCATTCAATAATCATTAATTGAGTATCCACTCTGTTAACAGGTCCTGCCTCCAAGGAACTCATATGAGATGGGAAAATCAGGGATTACAAATGTGTCTAAGACCTCAGACACAGATGGCTGTAGGGAAGGGTGGTCAAACAGACAAAATGGGGATTAATTGTGCCCAGCACTACTTCCAAAATGGACCGAAGACTGAAAAAGGATTGTGAAGGATGGCAGGAAGTGAAGTTGGAGTGAGGTGCAGAGGCTAGGTCATGGATAGCAGGGAATATTAGGACTTTGCTGGGGTAATGAGGAAGTCATGAGAAGGTTATGGGACATGACAAAAATTTGTGTTTTATTTAAAAGTATTTAAAAAAAAAGGTAGAACAGCCTGGGCAACATGGCAAAACCCCATCTTTACAAAATATACAAAAATTGGCCTGGCGCGGTGGCTCACACCTGTAATCATAGCACTTTGGGAGGCCTAAGCGGGTGGATCACGAGGTCAGGAGGTCAAGACCAGCCTGGTCAATATGGTGAAACCCTGTCTCTACTAAAAATACAAAAATTAGCCAGGCGTGGTGGTGCACACCTGTAATCCCAGCTACTCAGAAAGCTGAGGCAGAAGAATCGCTTGAACTTGGGAGGCGGAGGTTGCAGTGAGCTGAGATCATGCCACTGCACTCCAGCCTGGGTGACAGAGTGAGACTCCATCTCAAAAATAAAATAAAATAAAATATAAAAATAAAATTATTAGCAGGGCATGGTGGCAGGCGCCTGTAATCCCAGCTACTCGGGAGGCTGAGATGGGAGGATTGCTTGAGCCCAGGAGGTCAAGGCTGCAGTGAGCCAAGATCGTGCCACCGCACCCCAGCCTGGACAACAGAGCAAGACCCTGTTTCAAAAAAACCCCAAAAAGTAACATGCATAAAACATACAGGGTCAACATCCCCAAAATGCAAAGAGCTCCTCCAATTCAATAACTATCAACTGCAGGAAATCCCTGACTGAAAAATAGGCAATGGACATAATCAGGTATTTCATAACATAAGATATACAGGCTGGGAACAGTGGCTCATGCCTGTAATCCCAGCACTTTGGGAGGCCAAGGTGGGCGGATCACCTGAGGTCAGGAGTTCGAGACCAGCCTGGCCAATATGGTGAAACCCCATCTCTATTTTTTGTAAAAATACAAAAAAATTAGCTGGGCGTGGTGGCGGGCACCTGTAATCCCAGCTACTCGGGAGGCTGAGGCAGGAGAATCGCTTGAACGTGGGAGGCGGAGGTTGCAGTGAGCCGAGATCGCGCCATTGCACTCCAGCCTGGGCGACAAGAGTTAAACTCCATCACACAGACACACACACACACACACACACACACACACACACACACACGAAAAGAAAAAAAGAAAAAAAAGAAAGAAGTACAAATCACGGCCGGGTGCGGTGGCTCACTCCTATAATTCCAGCACTTTGTGAGGATGAGGCGGGCGGATTACCAGGTCAAGAGTTTGAGACCAGCCTGGCCAACATGGTGAAACCCCATCTCTACTAAAAATACAAAAATTAGCTGGGCGTGGTGGCAGGCCCCTGTAATCCCAACTACTCAGGAGGCTGAAGCAGGAGAATTGCTTGAACCTGGGAGGTGGAGGTTGCAGTGAGCTGAGATTACGCCACCGCACTCCAGCCTGGGGAACAACAGCAAAACTCCATCTCAAAAAAAAAAAAAAAAAAAAAAAGAATTAGTTCACTTTGGAAGGCTGAGGCAAGACAATCACTTGAGGCTGGGAGTTCGAGACCAGCCTGGGCAACTTAGCAAGACCCCCCCCCCCACGCCCATCTCTCCAAAATTAAAAAATTAGCCTTGCATGGTGGTGCCTGCCTGTAGTCCAAGTTATTGGGGAGACTGAGATGGGAGGATTGCTTGAGCCCAGGAGTTGGAGGCTGCAGTGAACTATGATGCCACTTACTTTATCGATAAATAAGTGTCTTAGACTGTTTATGTTGCTATAAGGTAATAACTGAGCCTGATTTATTTATTTATTTATTTATTTATTTATTTATTTATTTTTGAGACAGAGTCTTACTCTGTCACCCAGGCTGGAGTGCAGTGGCACGATCTCAGCTCACTGCAACCTCTGCCTCCCGGGTTTAAGCGATTCTCATGCCTCAGCCTCCCGAGTAGCTGGGACTGCAGGCATGTGCCACCATGCCCGGTTAATTTTTGTATTTTTAGTAGAGACGGAGGTTTCACCATGTTGGCCCGGCTGGTCTTGAACTCCTGATCTCAGGTGATCTGCCCACCTCGGCCTCCCAAAGTGCTGGGATTACAGGCGTGAGCCACCGTGCCTGGCAGGTAACTTATTTTTATTTTATTTATTTAATTTTATTTTTTGAGATGTACTCTTGCTGTGTCGCCAGGCTGGAGTGCAGTGGCATGATCTCAGCTCACTGCAACCTCTGCCTCCTGGGCTCAAGCAATTATCCTGCCTCAGCCTCCCAAGCAGCTGGGACTACAGGCACCCGCCACCACGTCTAGCTTTTTTTTTTTTTTTTTAGTAGAGATGGGGTTTCACCATGCTGCTCAGGCTGGTCTTGAACTCCTGAGCTCAGGCAATCCACCCGCCTCAGCCTCCCAAAGTGCTAGGATTACAGGCTTGAGCCACCGCACCCGGCCTTATTTTTATTTTATTTATTTTTTTATTTTTGAGATGGAGTTTCGCTCTTGTTGCCCAAGCTGGAGTGCCATGGCATGATCTCGGCCCACTGCAACCTCTGCCTCCCAGGTTCAAGCGATTCTCCTGCTTCAGCCTCCCAAGTAGCTGAGATTACAGGCACGTGCCACCACACCCAGCAAATTTTGTATTTTTAGTAGACACGGGGTTTCTCCATGTTGTCCAGGCTGGTCTCGAACTCCCAACCTCAGGTGATTGGCCCGCCTCGGCCTCCCAAAATGATGGGATTGCAGGCGTGAGCCACCACATCCAGCCAGGTAATTTACTTTTATTTATTTATTTATTTTTGGGAAAAGGTATCACACTGTTTGCCCAGGCTGGAGTACAGTGGCTCAGTCATAACTTACTGCAATCTCAAATTCCTGGGCTCAAGCACTCCTCCCACCTCAGGCTCCCAAGTAATTCCCAGCTAATTTTTTCTTTTTTTAGTGGAAAGGAAGTCGCACTATGTTGCCCAGCCTTGTCTTGAACTCCTGGGCTCAAGTGATCTTCTTGTGACTGGGTAATGTATTTATTTTTATTTATAAATGTTTTTTATTTATATAATTGGGACTCACTATGTTGCCCAGGCTGGTCTCCAACTCCTGAGCTCAAGCAACCCTCTTGCCTTGACCTCCCAAAGTGTTAGCATTACAGGTGTGAGCCACTGTGCCCGGCACTTGAAATCTTTTTAAACATTTTTATTTACTTATTAGTTATTTAAGGCTGGGTAATTCATAAAGTGAAGAGGTTTATGTGGCTCACAGTTCTGCAGACTGTACAAGAAGCATGACAGTATCTGTTTGGCTTCTGGTCAGGGCCTTTTGCTGCTTTCATTCATGGCCTAAGTCCAAGGAGAGCCACCATGCAGAGATCACATAGGAAGAGCCATGCAAGAGAGAGGGGAAGTGCCAGGCTCTTTCTTTCCTTCTTTCCTTCCTTCTTTCTTTCCTTTCTTCTTTCCTTCCTTCCTTCTTTCCTTCTTCCTTCCTTCCTCCTTCCTTCCTTCCTTCCTTCCTCCCTTCCTCTCTCTTTGTTTCTTTTTTAGATGGAGTCTCACTCTGTTGTCAGGCTGAAGTGCAGTGGTGCAATCTCATCTCACTGCAACCTCCGCCTCCCGGGTTCAAGCGATTCTCCTGTCTCAGCCTCCTGAGTAGCTGGGACTACAGGCACGCGCCACCACGCCCGGCTAATTTTTTGTATTTTTAGTAGAGACAGCGTTTCACCATGTTGGCCAGAATGGTCTCAATCTCTTGACCTCGTGATCCACCCACCTCGGCCTCCCAAAGTGCTGGGATTACAGGAGTGAGCCACCACGCCCAGCCTTTGCCAGGCTCTTTTCAACAACCAGTTCCCCAGGGAACTAAGAGTGAGAACGAACTCACTCCCTTCCTGAGAGATCCACCCACAAGATCCAAACACCTCTAATCAGGCCCCTCCTCCAACACTGGGGATCAAATTTTAACACGAGGGTTGGCGGAGCCAAACCGTGTCTAAACCATAGGAGTAAGCTTTTCTGTGTTATTTGTGACAATTCATCAATCTGTATGCTTATAAATCAGTGTATGCCATACCGTGATTAAACAGGTTTAAAAATTCTTCTAGAAGTTTTAACAGGGAACAATAGCTAGAATATTTTGTTAAGTGGAAAAAGCAATTTCAGAAGTGTGCAGGTGACTTCTGGGGAATTGGTCACAGTCTCTTTTTTAACCTGGCAGGGGTTACACATATATTAATTTTACAATTCATTAAACTGTTTATGTACATTGTATGCATGTTCTTCTCTATTAGCTATATATCACCATTTTAAAAACTAGAGAGAGAAGGACTTTCAGATGGGTAGGATGAGGAGCTTAGTGGACCTTCTCCCCAACAAAGCAAGCATAACTGGTGGAAATTATTAAAAAATAAAACAACAACCCCCTGAGAGTTTTCAAAGGTCATACAGCAAATGGAGACACATTTATTCAAGAAAATAGGCCGGGTGTGGTGGCTCACGCCTGTAATCCCAGCACTCTGGGAGGCCGAGGTGGGTGGATCATTTGAGGTCAGGACTTTGAGACCAGCCTGGCCAACATGATGAAACCCCATCTCTACTAAAAATTAAAAAATAATTAGCCGGGTGTGGTGGCACATGCTTGTAATCCCAGCTACTGGGGAGGCCGAGGCAGGAGAATTGCTTGAACCCAGGAGGCAGAGGTTGCAGTGAGCAAAGCTCACGCCACTGCACTCCAGCAAGGGCAACAAGAGTGAAACTGTCTCAAAAATAAAAATAAAATAAAATAGGCCAGGTGCGGTGGCTCACACCTGTAATTCTAGCACTTTGGGAGGCCGAGGTGGGTGGATCACCTGAGGTCGGGAGTTCGAAACCAGACTGCCCAACATGGTGAAACCCCATTTCTACTAAAAATACAAAAATTAGCCGGGCGTGGTGGTGCATGCTTGTAATTCCAGCTACTCGGGAGGCTGAGGCAGGAGTATTGCTTGAACCTGGGAGGCAGAGGCTACAGTGAGCCGAGATGGTGCCACTGCACTCCAGCCTGGGCAACAGAGCTAGACTTCGTCTCAAAAAAACAAAACAAAACAAAACAAAACAAAAACCCAAAAAACAATAACAACGACCAAAAAAAAAACCTTAAGGGAAGGGGAAAGTATGATGACGCTATTTCATCAAATAGAGAAGATTAAGTAAGAAGTAAAAATTACAAAAAACCCACAAATTGCCGGGCGCGGTGGCTCACGCCTGTAATCCCAGCACCTTGGGAGGCTGAGGCGGGTGGATCACGAGGTCAGGAGATCGAGATCATCCTGGCTAACACGGTGAAACCCTGTCTCTAATAAAAATACAAAAACAAATTAGTCTGGTGTGGTGGCGGGTGCCTGTAGTCCCAGCTACTCAGGAGGCTGAGGCAGGAGAATGGTGTGAACCTGGGAGGCAAAGCTTGCAGTGAGCCGAGATCGCGCCACTGCACTCCAGGCTGGGCGACAGAGTGAGACTCCGTCTCAAAACAAAACAAAACAAAACCCCACAAATCTTGAAGTTGAATAGTACTGTATAATAACTGAAATGAGAAGAGAAAAAAGAAAAAAATTCACTAGAGGGGATAACAGTAAATTAGAGCTGGCAGGCAAAAGCACCAGTGAACTAGTAGAGAGAACAATATGGATTATGCAAACTGAAGACCAGACAGTAGAAAGAATCAAGAAAAATGAACACAGCATCAGAGAAATATGGGACACCATTAGGTGCACCAACACACAAGTAACAGCAATAGCAGCAGAAGTGGAGACATGCGAGATGAAAGGGGAACATTAAGCATACATACATACATACATACATACATACATACATACATAAAAGAAGTGAAGACAGGAAGTATCATGGCTGCGAGTAGCTGGGGCCTGTGTTGCAAGCAGTAAAGGAATTTACCAAGACAGTCGTAGGTAAAGAAAAGCAGATTTGGCTCAGCGTGGTGGCTCACGCCTGTAATCCCAGCACTTTGGGAGGCCGAGGCAGGAGGATCATGAGGTCAGGAGATTGAGACCATCCTGGCTAACACGGTGAAACCCCATCTCTACTAAAAATACAAAAAAAAAAATTAGCTGGGTGTGGTGGTGGGTGCCTGTAGTCCCAGCTACTCGGGAGGCTGAGGCAGGGGAATGGCGTGAACCCAGGAGGCAGAGCTTGCAGTGAGCCAGGATCGGGCCACTGCACTCCAGCCTGGGCGACAGAGCAAGACTCTGTCTCAAAAAAAAGAAAATAAAAGAAAAGAAAAACAAATTTAGGCCAGGCACAGTGGCTCACATCTGTAATCCCAGCACACTGGGAGGCCTAGGTGGGTGGATCATTTGAGGTCAGGAGTTTGAGACCAGCCTGGCCACCATGGTGAAACCCCATCTCTACTAAAAATACAAAAATTAGCCAGGCATGGTGGTGCATGCCTGAAATACCAGCTACTTGGGAGGCTGAGACAGGTGAATCGCCTGAACCCAGGAGACGGAGGTTGCAGTGAGCCAAGATTGCGCCACTGTACTCCAGCCTTGGCAACAGAGGGAGACGCCGTCCCCCCCAAAAAAATTTAAAAAAATAAAAAATAAAAAAGTCTGGGCATGGTGGCTCATGCCTGTAATCCCAGCACTTTGGGAGGCTGAGGTGGGAGGATCACCTGAGGTCAGGAGTTTGAGACCAGCCTGACCAACATGGAGAAACCCTGTCTCTATTTAAAAAAATACAAAATTAATCCCAGCTACTTGGGAGGCTGAGGCAGGAGAATTGCTTGAACCTGGGAGGCAGAGTTTGCGGCGAGCCAACATCACGCCATTGTACTACAGCCTGGGCAACAACAGCTAAACTCTGTCTCAAAAAAAAAAAAAAAAAAGAAAAAAAGGAAAAAAGAAAAGCAGATTTGTTAGAGAAAGTATGAAGATACATTGCAGGGTACAACAGGCAGCAGAGAAGGGGCTGTCTGCCAAGAGGCGGGGGCTGGAGGTTCATGCTGGAGGGGCCTACCTGGTGGAATGAGGTCATTGTGCCAGCAGGTTGTTTGTGATTAGCCATCTCTCAGAACAATTGTTCATTGTTCTCCCCATCCTGGGGCCCTTCCTGAACTAGGGCCCCTTCCTTGTTACTTAGTTATCAGGACTAAACAGGAAGGAACAGAAAAAAATATCCAAAGAAATAACAGCTAAAAACTTCCCACATTTGATGGAGAAACTTGTTTTTTTTTTTTTTTTTTTTTTTTGAGATGGGGTCTCACTCTGTCACCCAGGCTGGGGTGCAGTGGCTCAACACAACTCACTGCAGCCTCAACCTCCCAGACTCAAGCGATCCTCCCACCTCAGCCTCCGAAGTAGATGAGACTACAGGCACACACCACCATGCCCAGGTTTTTAAAAAAATTATTATTTGTAGAGATGTGGTCTTGCTATGCCCAGGGTGGTCTTAAACTCCTGGGCTCAAGGGATCTTCCATCCTAGGCCTCTCAACCTGTTGGGATTACAGGCATGAGCCACCATGCCCAGCCTGATGGAGAAACTTTCTTTATTCTTTTTTTTTCAGATGGAGTCTCCCTCTGTCAACCAGACTGGAGTGCAGTGGCTCGATCTCAGCTCACTGCAACCTCCACCTCCCTGGTTCAAGTGATTCTCCTGCCCCAGCCTCCTGAGCAGCTGGGATTACAGGTGCCCACAACCATGCTAAGCTAATTTTTGTCTTTCTTTCTTTCTTTCTTTCTTCCCTTTTTTTTTTTTTTTTTTTTGAGACGAAGTCTCGCTCTGTTGCCCAAGCTGGAGTGCAGTGGCGTGATCTCAGCTCACTGCAACCTTCACTTCCCGGGTTCAAGCAATTCTCTGCCTCAGCCTCCCGAGTAGCTGGGATTACAGGTGCCCACCACCACTCCCAGCTAGTTTTTGTAGTTTTTACTACAGATGGGGTTTCACCATATTAGCCAGGCTGGTCTCAAACTCCTGGCCTCAGGTGATCTACCCGCCTTGGCCTCCCAAAATGCTGGGATTACAGGCGTGAACCACTGTGCCTGGCCTTTTTTTTTTTTTTTTTTTTTTTTGAGACGGAGTTTCACTCTTGTTGCCCAGGCTGGAGGGCAATGGCGCAATCTCGGCTCACTGTAACCTCTGCCTCCTGGGTTCAAGCGATTCTCCTGCCTCAGCCTCCTGAGTAGCTGGGATTACAGGCATGTACCACCATGCCTGGCTAATTTTGTATTTTTAGTAAAGACAGGGTTTCACCATGTTGGTCAGGCTGCTCTTGAACTCCTGACCTGAAGTGATCTGCCCACCTAAGCCTCCCAAAGTACTAGGACTATAGGCATGAGTCACCACGTGGGTCCCTGATGGAGAAATTTTAATCTACACATCCAAGAAGTTCAATGAACAAGTAAGATAAATGCAAAGAGGTCCACACCTAGTGTAGGATCCCTGAGTTCCTCCTCCTTTCTTTTTGTGTTCTGACCTAAAATCACAGAGTGCTTTGGCCATTCTTCCACCCAGCGAGCTGCAGGTTTTTCTCAGCAGGCTTGAACCCAAACCAAGGCCTTGAACATTCCCAGGCACTGATAAAGGTATCTGGGTTGTTGCCCAAGCACTGAAAGAAACTGACCCTAGCCCTGAACAAATTCCTTAAAGCCTCATATAAACTCCATACCGTGACCCTTTGGCTGTGGACATACCTAAGTAGAACACCCCTTTTCTCTCATTGTCCCTCATAAGGACAGAGTGCTGTCTCTAGGAATCGATGGAACTGGACTGGATCCCTGAGTAAATATTTTAGTCCAAGGGGAGGTCCACAAGCGATCTGTCTCTGCAGCACTCTGTATGTAAATTCCCCCAATATGCATTTTGGGCTTATCGCCCTGGCATTTAGTGCTTCTGTTTTTGGAATCCCAACTCATCCCATCTCAGGATCATTTTGTAGCAGGACGAGCCGCAGACAGAACCCCTCAGACACTGGGTTAAAGAAGGAAGAGGCTTTATTCGGCCAGGAGCATCGGCAGGCTTGCGTCTCAAGAACTGAGTCCCAGAGAAAGAGTTCTTGGCCCTTTTAAGGGCTTACAGCTCTAAGGGGTCCACATGAAAGGGTCGTGATAGATTGAACAAGCATGGGGTACATGGCTAGGTGGGGGTGGTGAGCAAGGCAAGTGTTTCTCCATACCATTGTCTGTGATCTATAGATAGCACAAGCGGTTAGGGTGTGGGTTAATCTTTAACCTACGGGCCTGGCCAGTGGTGCTGATCAGTCTGTTATTTTTTCAGTTTTTACTTCCTCCTTTTCTTTGGAGATAGGGGACAGTAGGAGAAATGGCCTCTCTCCTCATTCCCCCCTTTGAGAACCTCACTCACTAGTGGGAGTTCTCATTATCATCCTCACTATCTAGATCTTCCTGTGAGACAGATCAATAGTGATTCATGTAGTATACTTGTGCTGAGGTCTTTTGATGAACTAAGGTGATAACGAAGCTTCTTAGTAACTGGAGAAATATGGGTAACATACAGGGGAGTAACATGCAGGTTCCTAACACCATTATCATTCCTATTATAAGAGTTTTAAATCCTCCTAGAGCTGGAAGCCATTTTCCAAACAGGGATCCAGGATCAAACCTATGCCAAACCTGCATGGGTACATGTGCCAGCTTTGTCATGTCTCTAACTATATTTTTGACTACTTGTCCTTGATCATCTCTTTGCAGACAGCACTTGGTCAAGTTGAATTTTTCACAGACTCCTCCTTCAGCTGCCAGCAAATAGTCTAAGGCCAATCTATTCTGATAGATGGCATTTCTCATTTGGGTTTCCTGCTGGGCTAAAAGAGTTAAAGCTCTGCCAGTTTCACTAGTGATTATTTCTAAGATGGCCTGTAACCGTATGATCCAGTTGAGCATGTAGATGGGGGTATGGTATCCCTATGAGTCGTCTTGTGCCCATGTGGCAGGCCTATAGTACTGTATGATCCTTTCGGGGCACCACTCATCATCTTTCCAATTTGCTATAGCTATGCTCCTCTTTTCTTGGGAGGCATAGACAGGGAAACCTAGGAGGTCACCTGTTTTTATGGGCAGTAGGAAAAAGGATGGCTTAATGGTGCCAATGACACAACTACCTGCCCATTGATCAGGTAACTGAGTGTAGGCTCTGTGCCTACATATCCAGTATAGTCCAGCGGGAGCCATCCAGTCTTGATGAGATTGTGGATGGGCCTAAGCAGTCTGTAATTTAGGAAATTTACTGAAGGGATTATTTTCAGTATGGTTTAGACCCCACCAGGTGACTGTCCCTGTGTCCCTGTTATGCTTTTATACAGCTTCTGTCCTAGACAATTGAGCCTTCCTACAGGGATGGTGAAGTCTTTTCCTTTTCTAGGTATGCAGTATTGTCCATTAATAGAGGTTTTCAAGACCCAAAAGTTGCTAGTTTGGGCCTTCTGGACTGGAATTATGTCAGGAACTGGATCAGTAGGCACTAATTCTTGGGTTTCCCAAGGCCATCAGTCTCCCATAGTGGTTCCCTCACATACATAACAGGAAGTAACATTGAGGGAATGAGCTACATATTCTGCTAACTGGAGAAACAAGTTCTTTGTCCTTTTTTGTGGAAGCTCTGGTGCTGGCAGATTCAGCTCATCATAAAAGGTCTGAAACACTGGTTTGGAAGATCGCTTGTGGACCTCCCCTTGGACTAAAATATTTACTCAGGGATCCAGTCCAGTTCCATCGATTCCTAGAGTTACATACTCTCCTGTTTTCCAGCAGGGATCAAGGGGATTGGTAATTAGTAGTTCAATGGGTTACAGTGACCACTAGTGCAGGAAGAGTTACTCTTTCCTTTTTGAAGGCGGACAGGGTCCTTCTCATCTTTTTTTCCAGGTGGCCTAAATGACACAGGACCAGTAACTACATTCATCACTTCACAGTCCTAATTCATGACAAACATACTTATTTTCTACTATATAGCCCCTTTCCCAATCTAGAGAGCCACATCTTATTCTATTTCCATATGGGTCACTGTTGATTGCTGCACAGGCATCAAATTTTAAGATAATTTGTTTGGGGACTCCTTTCTCTTCTGTTCTAGTTATTACTTTACTAGTATCAGCTTTTCCCCAGCTGCCAGTCCTCGATCTTATTTCAAAAACAGTAGTCATAGGGGGGCTCAGATGGGTTATAGTACACATCAGACTGGTCACTTCCTGGGCTACATACCTTGTATAGAGTAGCATTATACAAACAAGTTCCTTTTAGAGTCCCAGTACACTCATACTAACTATAAAATAATAGGACTGCAGCAACCTTTTGTCCTACCTTAGTGACTTGATTTTGTCCTACCTTAGTGACTGGGAACAGTTCTCAGTCTGAGGAAGGTCAGCTGAAGTCCTTACTGTACAAGTCCAAAATTTAAGGAAAATGAGTCCCACGATGAGTTTTCTCATGCTTTGGCCATGCGTGGACCAGTCAGCTTCTGAGTGTGACTGGAGCAGGGCTTGTCATCTTCTTCAGAGTCACTTTGCAGGGGTTATCTAGGCTTGGTCTCACCTCCCAGGTCTCAGGTGCTGCAGGTTTTACCTGGCTGTGTTGGATCCAGGCTGGGATTCCCTCTATCTTTACGGCTGTGGGAGTGGTCAAGATGATGGTCTGGGGTCCTTTCCACCGTGGCCGCAAGGAGCCTATGTTCCAATCCTTGATCCACACCTGATCACCTGGGGAGAAAGGGTGAACTGGGGAGAATAAGCTGCCGGGGCACCTCTCATTTACCCAGGCTGAAATTGTGTAATTTTCCCTAAAGCCTGTAGCTGTCGCTGTAACGCAATTTCACCTAGCTCTCGAGGAGTGCCTGGGAGTCCCCGTAGTATGGGAGGGGGCCTATGATATAATATTTCATAAGGGGAATATCCTGTTCTTCTAGAAGGGGTACATCTAATCTTAAATAATACCATAGGGAGAGCTTGTACCCACTTTAATCCTGTTTCTTGACACACTTTCCCTAAACTATTTCCGATAGTGCGATTCATCTGCTTCACCTTTCCGGAACTTTGTGGTCAGTAGGTGGTATGTAGTTTCCATGTGATCCCCAATACCTTTGCTGTCTTCTGTAACAAGTCAGCCACAAATGCCGGCCCGTTGTCTGAGCTGATTTGTAAGGGCAGTCCAAACCTAGGGATGAGATCTCGGAGAAGCACATGGGTTACTTCACGAGCTTTCTCGGTCCGTGTTGGATAGGCCTCCACCCACCCAGAGTATGTACACACTAGAACTAGCAAATACTTGTTACCTCCACATTTGGGCATCTTGGTGAAGTCTACTTGGAGATCTTCAAAAGGGGCTGCTCCATAAGCTTGTATGCTGGCGGGGATGGTTAGACCTTGCCTAGCATTGTGCTGCCAGAAGGTGACACACTGCTGCGCCACTGTTTTGGCAAGGGCTGAAAGATGCAAGATGTAGAAGTACCAGCCTAACAACTTTTCAAGTGACTCTTGGCCTAGGTGGGTGGTCTCATGCACAGCCAGTATGACTGCGGCTCCTAGCAGTTGTGGCACAGCTATTCTTCCATCCGATAACTGGATCCATCCCTCTTCTATCACCTGCCCTCCCTCTGCCTGGAGAAAGTCCTTCTCTTTAGAATAAGTAGGTACAAGGTCAGGTGCCTGAGGGAGCAGGGGGCTGTGACTGATGCCTGGTAGGGGGTGGATGCTGCTTTTCGAGCCTCTGAGTCAGCTTGGGGGTTCCCCAAGGCAATCGAGGTAGAAGCTCGCTGGTGTCCTCTGCAGTGCATGAGCCACCTTTTGGGGCTTCCACACTGCCTCTAATAATTGCAGGATCTCTTGCTGATACTTTATGTCTTTTCTCCCAGCGTTCAACAGGGCTTTTTCCTTGTAGAATGCCCCACGCAGTTGGAGAGTTAAAAAGGCATACCAAGAGTCAGTGTAAATGTTTACAGTCTTACCTTCACTTAGCTCAAAGGCCAGAATTAAAGCAATGAGTTTGGTCTTGCGGGCTGAAGTGCCCTAGGGCAACGATTTGGCTTCAATGACAGCATCCAGGATTACCATATCCTACACACCTCTCTTCTTGTGGGTCGACAAAGCTGCTCCCGTCCACGTACAGCTCCCAGTCTACTGTTGTCCAAGGATGGTCTCGGAGGTCGGGCCTGCTAGAATAAACTGACTGCAACACCTCTACACAGTTATGTTCAACTTGGCTCTCTGATACCAGGAGCAAGGTGGCGGGGTTCAGGGTGTTGCAAACTTCAATGGTTATGCGGGGATTCTCACAGAGCAAGCTTTGGTACCTAGTTAGTCTAGCATTCGTTAGCCAGTTACGTCCTTTGGTGTTCATTAGTGTTACCACAGCATGGGGAGGCCTTTATGTTTTTTCTTTTTTTTGAGATGGAGTCTCACTCTGTTGCCCAGGCTGGAGTGCAGTGGTGCGATCTTGGCTCACTGCAAGCTCTGCCTCCCGGGATCACGCCATTCTCCTGCCTCAGCCTCCCGAGTAGCTGGGACTACAGGCGCCCGCCACCATGCCCGGCTAATTTTTCTGTATTTTTAGTAGAGATGGGGTTTCACCGTGTTAGCCAGGATGATCTCGATCTCCTGACCTCATGACCCGCCCGCCTCAGCCTCCCAAAGTGCTGGTATTACAAGCGTGAACCACCGTGCCCAGCTAGGGGGCCTTTATGTTTAGGTTTTGCCCTAAACATAAAGTTAGGGCAAGAGGTAGCTTATCTGCCTCTAGTGCTAGCAGGGCAGTTGCTGCCAAGGCTCTTAAGCACAGGGGCCAGGCTCAATTATCGACAGATAATTCTTGTCGATACTGGTGCTGAACATTCAGTAGTAACCACCCCAGTCGCCCCCTTATCCAAAAAGACTATTGATATAATTGGAGCCACGGGGGTTTCGGCAAAGCAAGCTTTCTGTTTGCCCCAGACCTGCACTGTCAGGGGGCATGAGATAATTCACCAGCAATTCATCCTGCCTGGACTTTCTCCAGGCAGAGGGAGGGCAGGTGATAGAAGAGGGATGGATCCAGTTGTCGGATGGAAGAATAGCCATGCCACAACTGCTAGGAGCCGCAGTCATACTGGCTGTGCATGAGACCACCCACCTAGGCCAAGAGTCACTTGAAAAGTTGTTAGGCTGGTACTTCTACATCTCGCATCTTTCAGACCTTGCCTTAGAAACTCCATCTAGCTCTTTGGAGAGGTAGGCTACCGGTCTTGGCCAGGGCCCCACCATCTGGATTAAAACTCCAATGGCCATTTTTTCTCTCTCTGACACATACAGTGTGAAAGGTTTTGTTAGGTCAGGTAGCCCCAGGGCTGGGGCCGACATGAGTTTCTCTTTTAACTCATGAAAAGCTCATTGCTGTTGGGACCCCCATTTGAAAAGTTCTGTGTCTCCTCACTTTGTGACTCCGTACAGGGGCTTAGCCAATACTGCAAAGTTTGGGATCCACAATCTGCAGAACCCTACAGCTCCTAAGAATTCTCTCACCTGCCTTCTGGTCTTAGGCTCCAGCAGGTTGCAGATGACTTGCTTTCTTTCTGATCCCAGGCTGTGCTCTCCCTGTCGGATAGTAAATCCCAGGTAACATACCTGCTATCTGCAGATCTGAGCTTCCTTCTTGGACACCTTATACCTATAGTCCTCCAGGTGCCAGAGCAGGGTATCCATTCCCTTGGCACACATGACTGCCATGGGGTGTCCCAGCAGGAAGTTGTCAACGTACTGGAGCAGCACGAAGCCTAGGTCTCTGGTGGGAATTTTCTGGAGGTCTCGAGCCAGTGCCTCCCCGAAGATGGTGGGGGAGTTCTTGAACCCTTGGGGGAGCCGGGTCCAAGTGTACTGAGTGGTGACAGCTGACTCCAGATCCTCCCACTGAAAGGCAAACAGTTTTTGGCTCTCAGGAGATAGTCTGATGCTAAAGAAAGCATTTTTTAGGTCCAAGCAGGTGAACCAGCTGTCCTCAGCTGGCAGCAACCCCAACAATGTGTATGGGTTGGATGCAAAGTCACTTTGCTTGGTTGACCATATGCAAATCCTGTACTGGCCTGTAGTCCTTGGTCCTCAGCTTGGGAACAGGTAGGAGGGGAGTGTTCCATGGAGACTGACAAAGGACTATAATTCCAAAGGCCCTCAGATGCTTGAGATGGACCCGGATGCCCTCAAGGGCTTCTCTGGGGACCAGGTACTGCTTTTGCCTGACCAGCTGGGCCCCAGGCTTAACTTCTATTAGTATGGGGGCCTGGTTGATTGCCAACCCTGGCGGGTTGTCTTCCTCCCACACCCTTGGCCACCGCTTAGCCAGAGCTGGTCCTATCTCTTGGCCTGGCTCAGCTAAGAAGAGTCTCCATTCCTCCTCCCGAGGAACCATAAGGGCCATGATGACTCCCTTTCCAGGTAACTTTAGCTGTAAAGAGCCATGCTTTGTAAAAGAGATAGTGGCTCTCAGCTTGCTAAGTAGGTCCCTTCCCAGTAAAGGCAAGGGGCAGTCAGGCATGTACAGGAACTGGTGAATTACCTCATGTCCCCCGACAGTGCAGGTCCAGGGCAAACAGAAAGCTTGCTTTGCCGAAACCCCCGTGGTTCTGATTATATCAATAGTCTTTTTGGATAAGGGGGCGACCAGGGTGGTTACTACTGGATGTTCAGCACCAGTATCGACAAGAAACTCAATGTCCTTGCCCCCGACTGTCATTCTGACCATGGGCTCTTTGGGTGCACATGAGCCTAGTCCCCCTCAGTCCAGTAACCCTTCTGCCAGATTAAACAAGGCCCTTTCGTCCTTGTCTGAGGCCTCCTGCTCAGTCACCTTGTTTCCCTTTCAACTGGGGGCACTTGTCCTTCCAACATCCCATTTCCTTACAGTAAGCACACTGGTTACGCTGCAAGCGTGGATGGCCGGACTGGGTATTTTTCCTGGGGCCCCCCTTTCTCGCCCCTTCGGGGGGGACCCCTCTATTGCTGTGGCTAGCAGGTCGGCGTTTCGCTGGGCTTGGCGTTCGCTCTCTCTGCAGTTCTCTCTGCGGCTTACAGCATCTCTATTCACAAACACCTGGTTGGCTATCTCCAATAACTGTGAAGTGTTCATGCCTGCAAACCCAGCCTGCTTATGTAGTTTTCTTCTAATGTCTTCTGCACTTTGACTAACTAAAGCCATGTTAATCATGCGCTGGTTTTCAGGGTTGTTGGGATCAAAGGGAGTATACATACAATAGGCCTCACATAGTCTCTCGTAAAATTGTGCTGGACTCTCTTCCTTTCCTTGAATAACCTCAGATATTTTATTTATATTGGTGGCCTTCTGAGCTCCTTTCTTTAACCCTTCCAGGAGGGCTTCCCTCTACCAGTTTAGCCTTTGCATACCCTGTCTTTCATTTGGGTCCCACTGGGGGTCTGTTCCTGGTAACTGGGCCATCACATACTCTTGGGGGTTTTTGTAATCAGCCGGAACATGTTCCTCTAGCCACTTAGTCGCTGCTTGGAGCACCCTTCGCCGTTCATCCGTGTTAAACAGGCACATGAGCAACTGGTGGCAATCAGCCCAAGTAGGGTTGTGGGTCTGGATAATAGTTTGGAGCAAATCAATTATAGCCTGAGGCTTTTCAGTATAGGATGGGGTATTGTTTTTCCAATTGAGGAGATTGGCAGAGGTGGAGGGTTGGTACACAAAGGCACGCCTTTCCACCATATGCCCGTCCTCGTTTACCCCAGTATACCGTTGCTCTCTCAGGGGCATTTGTATCCCAGTTTTAGGCCTCAAATGGGCTACCAAGTGAGGAGTTTCTCCTGAGGTCTTGCATCCTTTCTTTTCTACTCTAGGTGGCCTAGGGGTATGTAGGCCTTGTGGAAGCTTGGGCACAGTGGCCTCAGGAGTGGGAGGCCTTCTTTCTTGGTGAAAGGAGGGGCCACTGGCACTGTTTCTTGCCATGAATCCTTTGATGTTGGGTCGGACAGGACTTTAGGCGCCGACTTCCCTCAGTGGGTGAAGCGGGATTCTTCCTTGGCTGTCTGTCCCTTTGCCACTAGTACTGCTGCTGCCTGTCCTCTTAACCACTGTAGGGGGTCTAAAACCAGCTGTAACCAAGTGTCTATGTATGGAAAGTGGTCTGGGTTTTCTGGCTTACCAGTTACCTTGTGCCATACCTTTGAAACAAAGGACCTGTCTAGGCCTCCTTCTGATGGCCAACCCACTTCTAATGCTGGCTAATCTATCTCACTTAGGTCCTAAGTTTTCCTGGGGTCATAGTAACCCCATAATCTCCATTAAAACCTTTTTTGAAATTCTTTAACATAGTTCCTAATGGAGTGGTCTTACTTTGCGTCTCACCCATCTCCACCCCCACCCAAGACAAAAATGGCACTCACGACACAAGAAGGGAAAGGGTAAAGGGGTCACCCACTCTCCTCGGCAGTCACTGGCCGCTTCCCTCGCGGGAATCTCAGATCCTCTTAGCTTAAGCAGGCTGGTACCAGGCGCCAGCACGAACTGCCACTTAGCCATGTGAGGTATCCTACGGAACTGCAGCTTGGGGCTCAACGCTCACTTTGGATGGCGACCACTGTCCATCCTGTGCCCGTCTAAAACAAGCATTCACTCACTTTCACTTTCCTTTTTTTCAAACAAGCCAAGCCAAATCATAATCAAAACTGAGACCAAAGTGCCGATAAGGGCACACTGTGGGTGATCAGGCCACGCTTCCACTCAAATGGAGTGGGTAAGTTCCCAGGACTGGTCCTACCATATTCCAGATGTCCAGACTCCAAGTGCCAGTTCCTTCCTGGTGTTCAGCCGCTGCATTGATCCTCTGTGGGGGCCTGCCATGCACCGCTCTGACGAGGTGTTCCACGAGGGCAAATGCCTACCCGGGAGTGCTCTCAGGATCCGCGTTGCTCAAACTGGCCGGAGTCCCCTGCAGGGATGCTCCGCAGGGCAGGCCTAAGCCGCCTAAGGGGCTGCCTCGACCATCGTTAATCACCTCGCTTCCCGGTCAGGGAACCAAGAAATGTAAGGAAGAGGCTTTATTTGGTCAGGAGCGTTGGCAGACATGCGTCTCAAGAACGAAGCCCCCCTAAGAAAGAGTTCCTGGCCCTTTTAAGGGCTTACAACTCTAAGGGGTCCACGTGAAAGGGTCGTGATAGATTGAACAAGCATGGGGTACATGACTAGGTGGGGGTGGTGAGCAAGGCAAGTGTTTCTCCATACCATTGTCTGTGATATATAGATATCACAAGCGGTTAGGTTGTGGGTTAATCTTTAACCTACAGGCCTGGCCAGTGGTGCCGATCAGTCTGTTATTTTTCAGTTTTTACTTCCTCCTTTTCTTTGGAGACAGGGGACAGTAGGAGAAATGGCCTCTCTCCTCAATTTCAGCCACTCCCTTGTGGGAACTCCCTTACTGCTCATTTTTGAGAGATTCCAGCCATGGTTAGACAGGACAAAACACTCAGGCACATCATGGTCAAAAATCTTGAAATCCAAAGAGAATATCTTGCAAGCACAAATAGAAAAATGACCTGTCACCTATAAGGAAACTCCAATAAGATTAAGAGTTGACTTCTCATCAGAAACAAGAGAGCCCAGAAGACAGCTAAAATCATATTTAATGGTGAAAGACTGAATACCTTCCACCTAAGATCAGGAACAAAACAAGAGCGTCTGCTCTTGCTCCTTCTATTCAATATCATATTAGAAGTTCTAGCCACGGCAATTAGGCAAGAAAAAATAGGCATTCAGGGCCGGGTGCAGTAGCTTACGCCTGTAATCCCAGCACTTTGGGAGGCCGAAGCAGGTGGATCACGAGGTCCGGAGTTTGAGACCAGCCTGACCAACATGGTGAAACCCTGTCTCTACCAAAAATACAAAAATTAGCCAGGCATGGTGGTGCGCGCCTGTAATCCCAACTACTCAGGAGGCTGACACAGGAGAATTGCTTGAACCTAGGAGGCGGAGGTTGCAGTGAGCTGAGATCGCGCCATTGCACTCCAGCCTGGGCAATAGAGCAAGACTCCATCTCCAAAAAAAAAGGCTGGGCGCGGTGGCTCATGCCTGTAATCCCAGCACTTCAGGAGGCCGAGGCAGGCAGATCACAAGGTCAGGAGATTGAGACTATCCTGGCTAACACAGTGAAACCCCATCTCTACTAAAAATACAAAAAATTAGCCAGGTGTGGTGGCGGGTGGCTGTAGACCCAGCTACTCGGGAGGCTGAGGCAGGAGAATGGCATGAACCCGGGAGGCAGAGCTTGCAGTGAGCCGAGATTGCACCACTGCACTCCAACCTGGCGACAAATAAATAATTTTTTAAAAGTTAGCTCAAAATTGGCTGGGTGCGGTGGCTCACGCCTGTAACCCCAGCACTTTGGGAGGCTGAGGTGGGCAGATCATCTGAGGTCAGGAGTTCAAGACCAGCCTGGCCAACATGGTGAAGCCCCATCTCTGCTACAAATACAAAAATTAGCTGGTGTGGTGGCGCATGCCTGTGATCCCAGCTACTCAGGAGGCTGACGCAGGGGGAATTCCTTGAACCCAGGGAGGGGAGGTTGCAGTGAGCTGAGATCGTGCCACTGTACTCCAGCCTGGGTGACAGAGCAAGACTCTGTCTCATATATATATATATATACATATATACACACACACAATGTATTTATATATATATATGTATATACACATGCACAAATGGCCAATAAGCACAATGAAAAGATGCTTAAAATCTGTATTAATTTCTGATTGCTGCTCTAACAAATTACCATACATTTACTGGCTTGAAACAACACCACAAAATGTCTTACAGTTCTGTAGGGCAGAATTCTCATCAGGCTAATATCAAGGTGTCAGCAGGGCTGCCTTCCTTGTGGAGAATCTGTTTTCCTTGCCTTTTTAAGCTTCTACAGGTGGCCTGCATTCCTTGGTATGTGGCCATTTCCTCCATCTTTTTCTTTTTCTTTTCTTTTTTTTTTTTTTTGAGGCGGAGTCTCGCTCTGTCACCCAGGCTGGAGTGCAATGGCGTGATCTCGGCTCACTGCAAGCTCCGCCTCCCAGGTTCACGCCATTCTCCTGCCTCAGCCTCCCAAATAGCTGGGACTACAGGCGCCTGCCACCACGCCCGGCTAATTTTTTGTATTTTTAATAGAGACGGGGTTTCACTGTGGTCTCGATCTCCTGACCTCGTGATCTGCCCGCCTCGGCCTCCCAAAGTGCTGTGCTTACAGGCGTGAGCCACCGCGCCCGGCCACTTTTTCTTCTTTTTTTTTTCTTGAGATGGAGTTTCGCTTTTGTTGCCCATGCTGGAGTGCAATGGCGAGATCTCTGCTCACTGCAACCTCTGCCTCCTGGGTTCAAGCAATTCTCCTGCCTCACCTTCCCGAGTAGTTGGGATTACAGGCGTGTGCCACCGCCCGGCTAATTTTTGTATTTTTAGTAGAGACGGGGTTTCACCATGTTGGCCAGGCTGGTCTCAAACTCTTGACCTCAGGTGGTCCGCCCGCTAGCCACTGTGCCCGGCTAGCACTTCCTCCATCTTCAAATCTTTCTCTATCACCCCTGCTTCACATTTCCTTTTCATCCCTTGTCATATTTTCTTCACTGATTCTCCTGCATCCTCTTTTATTTTTAAGAACTCCTTTGACTATATTGCCCCCCTCAATAATCCAGGATAATCTCCCCATTTCAAGATCCTTAATCACATCTGCAATGTATCTTTTGCCATATAAGGTAACATATTCACAGGTTCTAGGGATTAGGAGGTGAACATCTTTGGGAGCTTATTGTTCTGCCTATCAAAACATTTATCTAAAGCATATAAAAACATAATTATTTATTAGGAAAATGCAAATCAACCATAATGAGATCCAACCTCACATCCACTAGGATGTTATATTAAAAAATACAGACAAGGGGCCAGGCACGGTGGCTCACACTTGTAATCCCAGCACTTTGGGAGGCTGAGGTGGGTAATCCCTTGAGGTCAGGAGTTTGAGACCAGCCTGGCCAAAATGGCAAAACCCCATCTCTACTAAAAATACAAAAATTAGCTGGGTGTGGTGGCACTCACCTGTAGTCCCAGGTACTTGGGAGGCTGAGGTGGGAGAATCGCTTGGACCCGGGAGGCAGAGGTTGCATTAAGGTGAGATCACACCACTGCACTCCAGTCTGGGCCGGAGCAAGACTCCATGTCAAAAAAATAAATACATAAAATACAGATAAGGCAGAGAGTGGTGGCTCATGCCTGTAATTCCAGCACTTTGCGAGGCTGAGGTGGGTGGATCATTTGAGGCCAGGAGATCTAGACTAGCCTGGCCAACATGGCAAAACCCTGTCTTTACTAAAAATACAATAAAAAAATAGCCAGGTGTGGGGATGCACACCTGTAATCCCAGCTACTGAGGAGACTGAGGTGCAAGAATCACTTGAACCCGGGAGGTGGAGGTTTTTTTTGCAGTGAGCCGAGATGGTGCCACTTCACTCCAGCCTGGGCAACAGATCGAGACCCTCTCTCAAAAAAATATATAGACAATAACAAGTGTTAGAGACGACTTGGAGAAATTGGGAACCTCATACATTGCTGGTGGGATTGTAAAATGTTGCAGTGACTTTGGAATATAGTTTAATAGCTCCTCAGAATGTTAAACTTACCCAACAATTCTACCCCTAGGTATATACTCAAGATAAATGAAAACATATGTCCACTCAAAAATTCATACACAAATGTTCAGGGCAGCATTATTTATAATAGCCAAAAAGTGGAAACAATCCAAATGTTCATTTACCAATGAATGTATAAATAAAATATGGTATGCCCATACAAGAAATATTAATTAGCAGTATAAAGGAGTGAGGTACTGGCACAGGCTACAACATAGAACTTCAAAAACATTGTGCCTTGGGAAGGAAATCACAAAAGACCACATATTGTATGATTCAATATTTAGGAAATGAGAATAAGCATATCCGTAGAGATAGTGTGTTAATGGTTGCCAAGGGCTGGAGAAGTAGAGCTAAAGGTTGTGGGGCAGACTCTGTGACCGTGCCTGCGGTCTCAACTACTCGGGAGTCTGAGGCAGGTGGCTCACTTGAGTCCAGGAGTTCGGGCTGTAGTGTGCTATGCTGATTGGGTGTTCACACTAACTTTGTCATCAATATGGTGACCTCTCAGGACTGGGCACCACCAGATTGCCTAAGGAGGGGTGAATCTACCCACGCTGGAAACAGCAGGTCAAAACTCCTGTGCTTCTCAGTAGTGGTATCGCAACTGTGAATAGCCACTGCACTCCAGCCTGGGCAACATAGCAAGATCCCATCTCTCTAAAAAAAGGCTATAGGGTTTATTTATTTATTCATTCATTCATTCATTCATTCATTGAGACAGGGTCTTGCTCTGTTGCCTAGCCTGGAGTGCAGTGGTGTGATCAGGACTCACTGTAACATCCACCTCTCCTGCTCAAGTGATTCTTCTGCCTCAACCCCTGAAGTACCTAGACTACAGGCATTTGCCATCATGTCAGGCTACATTTTTATTTTTTTTTTTGATTTATTTATTTTTTGAGATGGAGTCTTGCTCTGTCACCAGGCTGGAGTGCAGTGGCACGATCACGGCTCACTGCAACCTCTGCCTCTTGGATTCAAGCGATTCTTGTGGCTCAACCTCCCGAGTAGCTGGGATTACAGGCACGCGCCACTGCACCCAACTAATTTATGTATTTTTAGTAGAGATGGGGTTTTACCATGTTGGCCAGGATGGTCTCGATCTCCTGGCCTTGTGATCCGCCCACCTTGGCCTCCCAAAGTGCTGGGATTAAAGGCGTGAGCCACCATGCCCAACCTTTATTTTTTACTTTTAGGAGAGACAGGGTCTCACTATGTTGCCCAGGCTGGTCTGGAACTCCTGGGCTCAAGTGATCCTCCTGCTTCAGCCTCCCAAAGTGTTGGTATTACAGACATGAGCCACTGCGACTGGCATGGGGTTTCTTTTAGGAAGACAAAAATGTTCTAAATTTACAATGGGATGATGATTGCACAATCTTGTGAATATACTAAAACCAAGTGTACACTTTAAATGGGTGAATTGTATGGTATGTAAATTATATATATATCTCAATGTCTATTAAAAAGTTATTAAAAGATTGCAATAATTTTCTACCCATGATCTCCTGTATTTCAAACAAAAAGTCTGAAAGTTGATTCAGAAAAATACAGGTTACATGGTTTTGGTTTTTTGTTGTTGTTCTGATTCTTAACATGAATATATGTATTTTGTTTACATTCGAGTAGCTAAGTTTTTCTTTCTTTCTCTTTTCTGTTAGTTTTGTTTGTTTGTTTGTTTATTTGTTTTTGAGATGGAGTCTGGCTCTGTTGCCCAGGCTGGAGTGCAGTGGCGCAATCTCGGCTCCCCACAAGCTCCACCTCCCAGGTTCATGCCATTCTCCTGCCTCAGCCTCCCAAGTAGCTGGGACTACAGGTGCCCGCCACCATGTCCAGCTAATTTTTTTTGTATTTTTAGTAGAGACGGGGTTTCACCATGTTAGCCAGGATCGTCTCGATCTCCTGACCTCGTGATCTGCCCACCTTGGCCTCCCAAAGTGCTGGGATTACAGGCGTGAGCCACCGTGCCTGGTCTAGTATTTTTTTTTTTTAATTTTTAGTTTCAGGGGTGGCCCAGAGCAGTGGCTCATGCCTGTAATCCCAGCACTTTGGGAGGCCGAGGTGGGTGGATCACTTGGGCCCAGGAGTTCAAGACCAGACTGGACAAAATGGTGAAACCCCATCTCCACTAAAAATACAAACATTAGCTGGGCGTGGTGGCGGGCACCTGTAATCCCAGCTACTCAGAAGGCTGAGGCAGGAGGCAGAGGTTTCAATGAGCCGAGATGGCGCCATTGCACTTCAGCCTGGGCAACAGAGCGAGACTCTGTCTCAAAAAAAAAAAAAAGTTAAGGGGTACATGTGCAGGTTTGTTACATAGATAAACGTGTGTGATGGGGGTTTGTTGTACAGATTATTTCATCCCCCAGGTATTAAGTCTGGTAACCATTAGTTATTTTTCCTGATCCTCTCCCTCCTCCCATCCTCCAATCTCCAATAGGCCCCAGTGTGTATTGTTCCTCTCTATGTGTTCATGTGTTCTCATCATTTAGCTCCCACTTATACTGAGAACATGCAGTACTTGGTTTTCTGTTCCTGCGTTAGTTTGTAAAGGATAATGGTCTCCAACTCCATCCATGTCCCTGCAAAGGACATGATCTCATTCTTTTGTATGGCTGCAGCTAAGCTTTTCACAAAGAGCTTAAATAACATACTGAAGGTGAGGAAGCAGGTAAAAGCAGTCAGACTTGAACCCAGGCTGCCTAGCACCAGAGTTTGGAGTCTTACCCAATTCTCCATATTGGCTCAGGGCTTGTGCTATGTTTTCAGCCTAGCTTTGTCCACTGCCCTTCTTCACCTTCCATCCTTCCCCATACCCTTGTAAGCCTCCCGCCCCCAAGGTTCATTAAGGCAGACTCCAGAGCCACGTACTGTTCACAGCTCCAGAAAAGTACCCAAGGTTTTTCACGCCTGGCTGTATTTGTCATGATAGAACCTCTGCATGAAAGGCAAGGGGGTCTGTGGGGCAGACGACTATCCATGACATTATTGTCCTTACAGCCCAGAACGATAAAGGCTAGGGGATTGAAGAGGCGGAGAAAGCGGTTAGAGACTCTCCATAGAAATTGTCTCAGCCCCGCCCCTTAAATTCACTTTCTAGCCGCAGCTCCTTGAATTTACGTCCGAGCCACGCCTCCAATTAAACTGTCTCCCCACCCTCATCTCAAGTAATCCCCAAAGCTCCACCTCCTTAAAGAATCTTGGGCCCGGCCATTTGAACACCTCCAGACCTTATCTTCCTATCTCCCTTTAATAAAGCGCAGAAAACATTTCTCAAATAACACCTTTAGGATTATCTCCAAATATGGTCACACACACAGGCAAACTCCATTCGGCCCACCCTGGAGAATGCTACTTCAAAATTTGGCTCCTGTGGGGAACATCGCACACCGGGGCCTGTCGTGGGGTGGAGGGATGGGGGAGGGATAGCATTAGGAGATATACCTAATGTAAATGATGAGTTAATGGATGCAACACACCAACATGGCACATGTATACATATGTAACAAACCTGCACGTTGTGCACATGTACCCTGGAACTTAAAGTATAATAATGATAATAAAAAAAATTTGACTCCCGAACCTTCCAGAGCACACCCTTTAATCAGCCTCTAACCGTCATCCCATTCCTGACATCGCAAGCCCCGCCCCCATGGGCCTATAGGCTCCATCCCCATGACTCACATTTCAGGCCTGCCCCTTCGCTGCGTGCTCGCCCCCAGCACTCTCCAGGCCTCAAGCCCTCGGAAAGGACCCTCAAGGCCCCGCCGACCAGAACGGGGATCCAGCTACGCACACTCAACTAATCTGGCCCTCACCTACTGCGATAACCCTCAAGGAATATTCTAGGATAACCCCAAGGATCCTTCGAAGCATCCTCCGAAGCATCCTCCGATCCCCGCCCTCCCAAATCGCGCCCCTTGGCCCCACCCAAGGCAGGGCAGTAGCTGCTGACCCCCCAGGCCTGCTCCTCTGAACCCAGCTCCTCTCCGAACCTGCCCCCTGGGAGGCCCCACCCCCGTCACACACCCTCCTTCCGGCGCAGGCGCAATGTGGCGCCCGCCCTGTGTACTAGCGCCGCCACATCGACCGCAGCCCTCGCAGCCAGGGGGCGCGCGTCCAGCCGCGCCAGGAGCGGAAGGGCGCTGGGGCACGCGGGCGGGAGGGGCCCAGGCCTGCGCGCAAGAGGGGACAGGTCAACGCCGACCATCGGCCTCCGCCAACCCCCATGCTTCCGGACGCTCAAAGACTAGAAATGCCCCTCAGGATACCCGGCGACCCCTGGCCACTCCCTCGGTAGTTTCGGAGGTCACTGCTGTCCCTCCCCTCTCATGCGATCCCCGACCATCGCGGGTAGCGGGTGCACCCCCAGCCTGCTCTCACGGTGTCCCTGGAGATCGCTGTTTGACTGCAATAGTCCTAGACACCTCCGAACACCCCGTGAGGTCCTCGACTGCCCCCTAATCACCCTGGATGCCCAACTCTTCATCCACGATATCTCAGGGGACCCATTTCCCCCAGATATCCCGGGAGAACACGGCCTGACCCCGTAGCCCCGGAACCCCCAATTCCCCCTCTAGGTATCCTAGGCAACCGCTGCTACCCCCATGAATTCCCTCAGAGGGCCCGTTCCCCCCATGGCCCACATACCTCCAGAGTCCCCCTCCACAGGTCCCCAGGGGCCCCCAGCTCCCCTCCCCCCAGTTCACTAAGACCCTGAGTGCCCAGGTGTCCCCAGTGACCACGGGCAGACCCCTCCCCGCACATCTGCACGTCTCCCTGGAGACTCCTGAGAGCCCCTCCCCTGCTCTGGTGCGCGGCCCTTTCCCTCGTGTGTGGGTGTGGGTAGGGGACCTCCAGCCCAGCCTCCATCGCTGGGCCCCTGCCCCCTGCCACCTTCACTTGGGCGCCAGAGCCGCTCTGTTTACCACCTGTCAGAAGGAAAAGGTGTGGAGCAGACAGGCGGGACGGGGGTGGCGGCGACTCGCTCTGTCCTTCCCCAACATCCCCAATCCCTGTACTTCCTCTGCTCCCCTTAGGGTTCGCGGCGCCCCCTGTGCGCGGCTCCATGGCCAGTAGTCGGCCGGGTGGACGCAGGGCAGCCAGCGACGAGTTTTGAGCTCTGGGGCGTGCTCACCTGGTGACCCGCTCAGACCCTGGAAACAGGGTGGCGGGCCCGTGCCTGGTTCCTGTATCTGCGGGGTGGCCTATCTGGCGGCCAGCAAGGAGGCCTCCGTTAGCTGAGGACGCTGGGCTGGCTCCTTTTTCCACTCTGGGATGTTGCTATTCCAGCATAGGAAGGGGCAGTCGAAGCCCAGAGAAATTAGGGTACTGTCTGACCTCTGACAACTAAAAGCAGGGACGCAGAACTGGAGCCCGAGTTTACTAGGAAACTCTGCAATTTCCACCAGAGCTTTGCACAAGTAGGCACTCAGTATATTTGCAGGGAAAGTTTATCTCCCACTGTCCCTATTGGGAAACTGGAAATGTGTGGTGGGACTGAGTACCGTTGGAGCTTTTGGAGCCAAAGAATGGTTTGGTGCTCTGGGCATTATGAGGTTGCGGAACTCAAAAATTGGAGAGGGTGGGCTGGGCGCGGTGGCTCATGCCTGTAATCCCAACACTTTGGAAGGCCAAGGCAGGTGGATCACTTGAGGCCAGGAGTTTGAGACCAGCCTGGCCAACATGGCAAAACTCCATTTCTACTAAGATTATAAAAATTAGCCAGGTGTGGTAGTGGGCATCTGTAATCTTAGCTACTCGGGGGGCTGAGGCAAGAGAATCGCTTGAACCTGGGAGGCGGAGGTTGCAGCGAGCTGAGATCGTTCCACTGCACTCCAACTTGGGTGACAGAGCAAGACTCCCTCTCAAGAAAAAAAAAAAAAAAAAGAAAAAGAAAAAGAAAAGAAAAGAAAAAAAAATTGCAGAGGGCAGGTCCCTTGGAGAGTGGATGAGAGATGGGACCCAAAATTGAGGAGGCTGTGAATGAATGCATTGGAGTTGGATGGGACACTAGCTGATGTCAGTGGAGGAATGAGGCCTCTTCTATGTTTGAAAAGGGGAGTGTCTGGGGACATAAGCCCCAAGCAGGGAGCATTCGGACACAGTGTGACTGTAGTGGAAGGAGGAATGGGATTGCAGTGAGAGAGGGCCTTTCACCACTACTTTGCCAAATAAGAAACTCAGGGTCTGAGAGGCTCAGGGACCTGCCTAGGTCCCTGCAGCAAGCCAACAACACCAGTTTCAGGCAGCTTACCTACAAGACTCACTTGGTTAGTGACTATTTCACTATGGCTGTGGACACACTGTGTCCTAATGTCCATTCTGGCTGGTTGTGCAAGCCTCTCCGTTCACCTTTCAGAGACCCAGTATCCTCATAGGTGAAAGGGTCTGAACGGTTCCTGCTTTCATTCCACCTGCAGTCCCCTGCCTCTTTCACCTCTGACCTGACCTTGTCTAAGGGGGGACACCCTGGACCTCCTTCACTGCTCCTCCCAATTCTTGTTGAGACTTCCACACCTGAATCTGGAGAGGGCAGCTTCCAATCTGGGGCTCCAGGTTTTAAGAACCTGTGGATGTGAGAGTGAGGTGCTTACACACTGTGAAGGAGAGCTTGAGGCTCTGTAGCTCCATGCATGGGAGGGTCTTGCAGACTGGGGCATTGTCCAAGGGCCGAGGACAGATGGACAGTGAGGGGAGGCATCCAAGCACCAGGTAGAATCTACTAACATCGATCAGGGAGCTTGCCAACTGGATGGGAAACTGCTTCCAGGCTGGGAGGTATTCAGGCTTGGGGAATCATGAACGAATGAAGGGGTCCAAGGACATCCTCAGGGGACGTGAATTACAGGGGCGGGGGCCCAGGATGCTGGATAGGTGTTCACTGAGACAGCTGACACCAGCAGGGCTGAAATTACAGGGGCAGGGGCCCAGGATAGGTGTTCACTGAGAGAGCTGACACCAGCAGGGCCGAAATTCCAGGGCCAGAGAGTAGTGTATGTGTCACTGAGGCTGCTGGCAGGGTTAGGGGTGTAGAGAGGATGCAGACATGAGGGAGGAACTCCAGCCACTGCATTGCCTGACACCTCAATGTACCTCTCTGGGAAGTGGGGGTGATGAGATATGCATGGTAAGACTGTCAAGAGAGTTCGGAACAAAGCTTCCAAATTGCTGGTGTTGTGCCAAGCCAAGCTATTTGGTAGCAGTGTTGGTGCTTATCTTTAATATTGATTACAATGACACTATGGGGGAGCAAACCCTCACTTAGCCCTGCCCCACTGTGGATTCAAATCAATGCCCCTCTTAGCCTCATCCATTTGTGAATACAACCCAATTACCCAGCTGGGCACGGTGGGTCATGCCTGTAATCCCAGCACCTTGGGAGGCAGAGATGGGCGGAGTTTGAGACCAGCCTGGCCAACATGATGAAAACTTGTCTCTACTAAAACTGCAGAAATTAGCCGGGCGTGGTGGTGGGTGCCTTTAGTCTCAGCTACTTGGGAGGCTGAAGCATGAGAATTGCTTGAACCCAGGAGATGGAGGTTGTAGTGAGCCGAGCTCGCACTACTGCACTCCAGCCTGGGTGACAGAGCGAAACTCTGTCTCAAAAAAAAAAAAAATCATTTAAAAAAACCCTAATTACCCCTTTTAGCCTCATGTAATTCAAGAATTAAGTCAATTTCTCTCACAGCCCCACCCAATTCATTAATTTAACAAAAGATTGTATTTATTTATTTATTAGAGACAAAGTCTTGCTACATTGGCTAGGCTGGTCTGAAAATTCTGGCCTTAGTGATCTTCTCACCTTGGCCTCCCAAAGTGCTGGAATTACAGGCGTGAGTCATCATGCCCAGCCTGTTTTGAGAATTTATATTTTATTTTTTTTAAAGACAGGGTCTTGCTCTGTCACTGAGGGTGGAGTGCAGTGGCATGATCACAGCTCATTGTAACCTCTAAGTCTTGGGCTTAAGTGATCCTCGTGCCTCAGCCTCCCAAGTAGCTGGGACTACAGGTGCATGCACTACACCCAGCTGTTTTAAGTTTTGAAGGGGTTGAGATATAATTGACTTCAATTTGATAGGTTTTGAATATGTTTATGTCAGTGAAACGATCACTACAGTGAAGATACTGAACAGGCTGGGTGTGGTGGCTCACCTCTGTAATCCCAGCACATTGGGAGGCAGAGGTGGGAGGATTTTTTGAAGCCAGGAGTTTAAGACCAGCCTGGACAACATAGTGAGACCCCCCCACCCCAGTCTCTACAAAAATGTAAAAAATTTGCCAGGCATTGTGGCACATATGTGTAGTCCTATCTGCTCAGGAGGATCCCTTGAGCCCAGGAGTTTGAGGTTACAATGAACTATGATTGTGCCACTGCAATCCATCCTGCATGACAGAATGTGACCCTGTCACTTAAAAAAAAAAAAAAGAAATACTGAGTATAACTATCTCTGCCAAAAGTTTTCTCCTGCCCTTTGTATTTCCTCTTTCCTGCCCTTTTGGCCCCCTCCCTCCAGGCAACCACTAATCCACTTTCTGTCACTGTATATCAGTTTGCATTTTATTAGATTTTTATATAAAAGAAATCATACAGCATGTGCTTTTTTGGAGCGTGGGTCTGGCTTGTTTTACCATAATTATTTTTGAGATTCATCCAAATCCTTCATTGTTTTTTATTGCTGAGTTGTATTACCCTGTATGTGTATACCATAGTTTGTTAATTTATTCATCTATTTTTTTCATTGAAAATTGTTTTCTTTTTGAGAGATGGGGTCTCACTATGTTGCCCAGGCTGGTCTCAAACTCCTGGGCTCAAGCAATCCTCCTGCCTCCACCTCCAGCCTCCCAAAGTGCTAGGATTACAGGCATTAGCATTTTTAAAATAGAGACAATGTTTCTATGTTTTTAAAATAGAGACAATCTTTCACTATGTTGCCAAGGCTGGTCACCAACTCCTGAGCTCAAGCGATCCTCCCACCTCAGCCTCCCAAAGTGCTGCGATTACTGGCCTCATTCAACTATTAATGGACATTTGGGTTATTTCCAGTTTTTGGATATTAACAAATATTATGGACTGAATTGTGTCCACCCATAAATATATATATATATATATATTTGTTGTTGTTGTTGTTGTTGTTTTGTTTTTTTGAGAGAAGTCTCGCTCTTATCCCCCAGGTTTGAGTGCAATGGCTCGATCTCCACTCACTGCAACCTCTGCCTCCCGGGCTCAAATGATTCTCCTGCCTCTGCCTCCCAAGTAGCTGGGATTAAGTCACCTGACACCACGCCTGGCTAATTTTTGTATATTTTAGTAGAGATGGGGTTTCACCATGTTCGCCAGGCTGGTCTTGAACTCCTGAACTCAGGTGATCCACCCGCCTTGGCCTCCCAAGGTGCTGGGATTACAGGCGTGAGCCACTGTGCCCAGCCATAAATATATATGTTAAAGCTCTAACCTCCAATGTGACTGTATCTGAAGATAGCTTCTTTAGGAGGCAACTAAGGTAAAATGAGGTCACTAAGGTGGAGCCCTAACCAGATAGGACTGTGACCTTATAAGAAACAGAAGAGAGAGATCTCTCCCTCTCTCTGTGTGTGCCTCTCTCACGCCTTTACTCTCCTTCACTCTCTTAATTCCATGTGAGGACACAGCAAGAAGGCAAGCATCTGCAACCCAAAAGGAGAGACCTCACCAGGAACCAAATTGGCTACCACCTTGATCGTGGACTTTCCGGCTTCCAGAACTGTGAGAAACTTATGTTGTTTAAACCACCCAGTCTACGATATTTTGTTACAGTAGTTCTAAATGAATAAGACAGGAAATAAAGCTGCTATGAATATTTGTAAGACAAGGCTGTGTAAATGTATGCTTTCTTTTAGATAAATACGCAGGAGTGGAATGGCTGGCTCATATGTGTACGCTTAGTTTTTAAAGACACTACCAAACTGTTTTCTAAAGTTGCAGGCCGGGCACGAGTGGCTCACGCCTGTAATCCCAGCACTTTGGGAGGCTGAGGCGGGCCTCGCCTGTAATCCCAGCACTTTAGGGAGTTCGAGACCAGCCTGACCAACATGGAGAAACCCCGTCTCTACTAAAAATACAAAATTAGGGGGGCGTGGTGGTGCATGCCTGTAATCCCAGCTACTCAGGAGGCTGAGTCAGGAGAATCACTTGAACCCGGGAGGCAGAGGTTGTAGTGAGCCGAGATCGTGCCATTGCACTTCAGCCTGGGCAACAAGAGCGAAACCCTGTCTCTAAATAAATAAATAAAGTTGCAATATCATTTTACATTTCCACCGGAGGTATAGGAGTTCCATTTCCTCCATATCTTCAGCAACAGTTGGTATTGTCAGGCTTTTAAATTCTAACTAGGACCTTTAGTTAACAGAGTGCGGCGCCTGCAGCAGAGTGAGGCCAAGCACTCCTCCTGGCTCCTACAGCCAGGCCTCCTTGCTGGCCGCCAGGTAGGTCACCGCGCGGGTCCGGGAGCCAGGCACGGGACCCGCCAGCTTCAGCCTCCAGGGCCTGGGCGGGCCGCCAGGTGAGCGCGCCCCAGAGCTCAAAATTCGTAGCTGGCAGCCCTGCGTCCACCCGGCGGACTACTGGCCATGGAGCCGCGCACAGGGGACGCCGCGGACCCTAGGGGGAGCAGAGGAGGTACAGGGATTGGGGTCGTTGGGGAAGGACAGGGCGAGTCGCCGCCATCCCCGTCCCGCCTGTCTGCTCCACACCTTTTCCTTCTGACAGGTGGTAAACAGAGCGGCTCTGGCGCCCAAGTGAAGGTGGCAGGGGGCAGGGGCCCAGCGATGGAGGCTGGGCTGGAGGTCCCCTACCCACACCCACACACGAGGGAAAGGGCCGCGCACCAGAGCAGGGGAGGGGCTCTCAGGAGTCTCCAGGGAGACGTGCAGATGTGCGGGGAGGGGTCTGCCCGTGGTCACTGGGGACACCTGGGCACTCAGGGTCTTAGTGAACTGGGGGGAGGGGAGCTGGGGGCCCCTGGGGACCTGTGGAGGGGGACTCTGGAGGTATGTGGGCCATGGGGGGAACGGGCCCTCTGAGGGAATTCATGGGGGTAGCAGCGGTTGCCTAGGATACTTAGACGGGGAATTGGGGGTTCCGGGGCTATGGGGTCAGGCCGTGTTCTCCCAGGATATCTGGGGAAATGGGGTCCCCTGAGATATCGCGGGCGAAGAGTTGGGCATCCAGGGTGATTAGGGGGCAGTCGAGGACCTCACGGGGTGTTCGGAGGTGTCTAGGACTATTGCAGTCAAACAGCGATCTCCAGGGACACCGTGGGAGCAAGCGGGGGTGCACCGGCTACCCGCGACGGTCGGGGATCGCGTGAGGGGAGGGACAGCAGTGACCTCCGAAACTATCGAGGGAGTGGCCAGGGGTCGCCGGGTATCCTGAGGGGCATTTCTAGGTCTTCGAGCGTCCGGAAGCATAGGGGTTGGCCGAGGCCGAGGGTCGGCGTTGACCTGTCCCCTCTTGCGCGCAGGCCGCGGCCCCTCCCCGCTCGCGGGCCCTAGCGCCCGGCAGCTCCTGGCGCGGTTGGACGCGCGCCCCCTGGCGGCGCGAGCTGCGGTCGACGTGGCAGCGCTGGTACGCAGGGCGGGCGCCACATTGCGCCTGCGCCGGAAGGAGGGTGAGTGACTGGCGCAGGGCCTCCGCTGGGGGAGGGTTCGGAGAGGAGTTGGGTTCAGTGGGACAGGCCTGGGGGGTCAGCAGCTACTGCCCTGTCTTGGGTGGGGCCAAGGGGCGCGACTTGGGGCGGGGATCGGAGGGTGCTTCGAGTGGGAGGAGCCTTGGGGTTATTCTAGCATATTCCTTGAGGGTTATTGCAGTCGGCGAGGGCTAGATTAGATGAGAGTGCGGAACTGGACCCCCGTTCTGGCGGCGGTCCTTTTTGAGGAGGCAGGGCCTGGAGAGTGCTTGGGGGGCGGGCACGCAGCGAAGGGGCAGGCCTGAAATGTGAGTCACGGGGGTGGAGCCTATAGTCCCATGGGGGCGGGGCTTGAGATGTCAGGAATGGGATGAGGGTTAGAGGCTAATTAGAGGGCGTGCTATGGAAGGTTCAGGAGCCAAATTTTGGAGTAGCATTCTCCAGGGTGGGCCGAATGGTGTTGTTTGAGGGATGTGTTCTGCGTGTTATTAGAGGGAGATAGGAAGGCCTGGAAGATTATTCACATGGCTGAGCCCAGGATTGTTTATTAAGAAGGTGGGGTCAGAACAGTTAATTTGTTTGGGCTGAGAACCTTTAAGATTACTTGAGGGGATGGTGCGTAAATGGTGGGCCAGTTTGTATATGAGCTGCAGGGGCAAGACAAGTAGATGAGGCTAGAATGTTAACTCAGGGAACAGGTCCTAGGTAGTTTCCATGGCATGTCCCCCAACAGCCCTCTCCACTGCTTTTATCTCCCAGCTGTTAGCGTGCTGGACTCTGCGGACATAGAGGTCACAGACAGTCGCCTGCCTCATGCCACTATTGTGGATCACCGGCCCCAGGTACCATCTCATCCTTCTATCGGAGGCCTCCTGCCTCAGGGCAAACTATGTACACCTGTGTCCTTTATTCCAGCACCGTTGGTTAGAGACATGTAACGCACCTCCCCAATTGATCCAGGGTAAGGCACGTAGTGCTCCGAAGCCATCCCAGGCCTCTGGTCATTTCTCTGTGGAGCTGGTTCGCGGTTACGCAGGCTTTGGCCTCACCTTAGGTGGGGGCCGGGATGTAGCTGGGGACACTCCGCTGGCCGTGCGCGGGCTGCTGAAGGATGGCCCAGCACAGCGCTGTGGTCGTTTGGAGGTGAGCCCTGAAGCCCCTTCCACTGGTAGGTGCTATCCCTGCCTTTGTTGGGGTGCTCTCCTTTTGCCTTTCCAACACGACTGCATTGCACTCCTCCAGGTCGGGGACCTCGTGCTCCACATCAACGGAGAGTCAACGCAGGGCCTCACCCATGCCCAGGCCGTGGAGCGGATCCGAGCTGGAGGCCCCCAGCTCCACCTGGTTATTCGTCGGCCTCTGGAGACCCACCCTGGCAAGCCTCGAGGGGTGGGAGAGCCCCGAAAAGGAGTTGGTGGGTTTCCCAAGGGAGAGAAGTCAGAGATCAGTGAGGAGAAGGGAGAGGTTCACAGAGTGGAGAAGCTGAGATTCTGGGTGGGAAGGGTTTGGTGGTCTCTGTGGGGAGGGTCTGCAAGAGGTCATGGTATTCTCACAAGTAGGGGCAGGGAGGGGTACAGGGTCCCAGGATAGGAATAACGTAGGGGCAGGGAGGGGTGTCAGTCTCGAGGATAGGAATTTCAGAGGGTGGGTTTTCCAGGTACTGGGGGAAGAGAAGGGAAGGGGTCTAGGATAAAAGCAAGTGTTTGGAAGGAAGGGTCTTAGTTCTCAGAGGCGAAGGCAGAGTGGATCTTAGCCGGGGGAAAATGGGATGGGGATCCAGAGGGTAGGGGGTCTAGTTCTGAAAAACAAAGGGTCGGTGGTTTGGGAGTCAACGGAGGTGGGATGAGAGAGGAGAGAGCAGGGGCTCCTAGATGAGCGGGGTTTGATTTCCTTTGGAGATTGTGGGAAATGATTTCTGAGGGGCATGTTCTGGATCCAGGAGGGGAGGGGTCTCGGGAAAGGAGGTGTCGGGGTTGTGAGGGGTGGTGCCGATCCCAGAAGGCCTGGAGGGGAGATTTCTCTAAGGGTCAGGGTCTCATCTCCCGCAGCCTTTGGGTTCTCCTGTCCATCCTCAGCCAAAGGCCTGGATTTCCCTTCCCTACTTCACCACCCAATCTAATCCGTAGTCCCGTCATGGCCAGATCGCAGCCCAGATCCTGGAGGGCCGGAGGTAACGGGGTCTCGCAGCAGCAGCACTTCCCTAGTTCAGCACCCTCCATCCCGGACGACGCTCAAGAAGACCCGGGGCAGCCCGGAGCCTAGTCCAGAGGCGGCCGCCGATGGCCCCACGGTTTCTCCTCCTGAGCGCCGCGCTGAGGATCCCAACGACCAGATCCCGGGTTCCCCGGGGCCCTGGCTAGTGCCCAGCGAGGAACGGCTCTCGCGGGCCCTAGGGGTCCGGGGGGCAGCGCAGCTCGCTCAGGAGATGGCAGCCGGAAGGCGGAGACACTGAGCCTACCTCTGACAGCGCGGGGCTCACTAGTTACCGCCCAACCTGGATCCGGCGCGTGTGGCCGCTGGGCACTTGGCACCTCCCCAAGAGCTTCCACTTGGTTTGGTCCCCCCACCCGCTGCTCAGTGGCTCTGACCACACTCCCCTCGCAGCGTCAGTGGTACGACCCTTCCAGCCGGCTAGCCTGCGCTTCTGGTTCTGGGAGGGGGAGGTAATAAAATGGTTCGATCCGGTCTTGACTTGCCAGGCGCTCGAGGCGGGGTGGGGCTGCCCGGGCCACTCTGTAAAGGAGCAGGTGGGTCGATCCTGCTTGAGTAATCGCTGACGAGCTTCGTGCTGCTGCTTTCCTGCTTGCACATGTTATCTTTGCTTCTGCCGGTCCTCAGTCTGGCGTGCTTTCTTTTTCTCTTCGCCGTCTCCTGCTCCTCTCCTTATTCATTAATTTCACCTTTTTGGAGGTGTACAGGGTCTCACACATAAATTATTGTGCATGGCATGGAGAATGCAGAGGTGAGCCTGTCGTGGCAGGACTGCACCAGTGTATCCACAGTCCTGTCTCGGAATCATACAGACCCTCAGCTGACGTCGGGATAGCAAGGCTAGAAGCCTAGAAGCAGGGCAGCTTCCTTCGCCAGAGGCCTGCGGTCTCCCACTTCCGGCCTAGTCTGCCAGCTTTTGCTGGCACGTAGGCTACCACTCTCCGGGCACCGGCTGGGGTCCTGGAGCCCCCTTTGGGGCGGAGTGGGGAAGGTGTGAGTCAGCGCCCCTGGACGGGCCGGGCTAAAAAAGGCTGTTAGAACCTTTGGGCCGTGCCCCCATTTTCCGTACATGGTGAAGAACTGCAGCCGGGCTTGTGTGCACACGCCACACACTGGGCGTTCCCGGCACGGGAGAGGCCCAGAGTTTCCTTCACCCTGGGAACAGAGCCCTACAGCCAGGGCTTATATGGCCAGCGGGACTCCAACCGGGGTAGCCGCGAGGAAGGCGCTGGCAGAGGACAGAAATGTCCAGTCACCTCCGCTGTCACCACATCCTGAGCACTCGGCCCCATCCCCCCACAGGAGGGAAGCTGTGGTCTGACGGAATGGGCAACTTTCGCCCCTGTGGGGAGGGGACGGGGAAGGAAGAAAGAATTTAAAGGACCGGAATGCGAGAGTCCAGGTGGCCTTGGAGAGGAAAGAGGAACGGTGAAGACAAGCTGCGAGAGCTGGGAGCTGGAGGGTGAAGAGGTGAACACTTGAGTGGTTAGAGCTGTAGATAGACATTGTGGGGAAGTGTGCCAGGGTGGCTTCCAGCTACCCCTGACTTAGAGCCTGGTGGAGGTGTGGTTCTTCAGAAGTCAGCAAAGGGCTCAAGAGCCCCAGTCTATAAATACAGTCACACCCAGGAGACTAATAATAGTAACCCCAGCCACCATGTACTTAGTTTTATCCCTGCTACTGGCTTTATTGCAATATTTATTTTCATCTACAATAGTTGCACATCTACTCAACTATCCGAATATGTCCATTTCGCAGAGGAGGAAAGTGAGGCCCAGGGAGTGCAGATAGCTACAGAGAGGAGGGTCAAAGCACGATTTAATCAAGGCCTGATTCCCAAGTCTGTCCTCTCAATTTCACCTGCATTGACAAGTATTAATTGAACCCCAACTGTATATGTTGCACTGTGCTAGGTACTGTGGAGATGCTGGAGGAACAAGACATAAAATTTCTTTGTGTAGCTGATGTATGTAATGAGAGTAGACAGATGTCAGACAAAAAAGACGAGAAAATGAATAAATAAAAAACCAGGCCAGGCGTGGTGGCTCACGCCTGTAATCCCAGCACTTTGGGAGGCCGAGGCTGGTGGATCACGAGGTCAAGAGTTCAAGAGCAGCCTGGCCAAGATGGTGAAACCCCGTCTCTACTGAAAATACAAAAATTAGCCAGGTGTGGTAGCAGGTGCCTGTAATCACAGCTACTCGGGAGGCTGAGGCAGAGAATTGCTTGAACCCAGGAGGTGGAGGTTGCAGCGAGCCAAGATCGCACCACTGCACTCCAGCCTGGGTGACAGAGCGAGAATCAGTCTCAAAAAAAAAAAAAAAAAAAAAAAAAACTTCAGGCCAGACATGGTGGTTTGTGCCTGTAATCCCAGTACTTTGGGAGGCGGAGGCGGGTGGATTGTTTGAGCCTACAAGTTTGATACCAGCCTGGGCAACATAGACCTTGTCTCTACAAAAAGTTTAAAAATTAGCTGGGAGTGGTGGCTCATGCCTGTAGTCCCAACTACTTGGGACACTGAGGTGGGAGGATCACTTGAGCCTGGGAGGTCAAGGCTGCAGTGAGCCATGATTGCACCATTCCACTCTAGCTGGAGTGACAGTGAGACCTTATCTCAAAAAAAAAAAAAAAAAAAAAAAAAAGGCCAGGCTCGTGGCTTACATCTGTAATCCCAACACTTTGGGAGGCCAAGGCAGGCGGATCACCTGAGGTCAGGAGTTCGAGACCAGTCTGACCAATATGGAGAAACCCCATCTCTACTAAAAATACAAAATTAGCCTGGTGTGGTGGCACATGCCTGTAATCTCAGCTACTCAGGAGGCTGAGACAGAAGAATCGCTTGAACCCGGGAGGTGGAGGTTGCGGTGAGCCAAGATTGTGCCATTGTACTCCAGCCTGGGCAACAAGAGCAAAACTCCTTCTCAAAAAAAAAAAAAAAAAAAAAAGACAATTTCAGAGAGAAGTGAGAGTCATGAAGCTATGAAGCTAGCAAAAGGAGGTTACATTGTGGGAGATGATGGTGAGCTTCTGGCCTCTTTGAAGACATAACTCTTGAGCTGCAACCTGAATGACCAGAAGCCAGGTATATGAAGCACTGAGTGAAGGGCATTGACAGCAGGGGGAATAGCAAGTGCAAAGGTGTTGAAGTGGAACCAGGTTCATCTTGTTTCAGAAATTCAGACGTGTCCTCACAGAGTTGGAAAGCACATACTCATCACTAGGAAAAGTATGTTTCATCCCTTCCACTATTCACTCACTCTTCCGGCAACCGGGGCTGAAAGAGGGGAGCTCTTTCCTTAGTTTTGAGGGGCCCTGTGTTGGCAGAGAGAGCAGGCAGGCCCTTGGGTTGAATCCTCCTGGCCATCCAGTTATGATTCTCCCCCACTTCAAATGAGATGAGAATAAAAACAACTTCTAGTCTGGAGAGTGTGTCCCTCAGGGTACCTCTGGGATCCTGATTCCAGGAGACGAGATGCATGTCTTAGATGCAGAAATTAAGGCTGAGCTGGGGGAAATTACTTGCTCAAAATAACACACTTAGCCAGGCGCAGTGGCTCACGCCTGTAATCTCAGCACTTTGGGAGGCCAAGGCGGGAGAATTGCTTGAGGTCAGGAGTTCAAGACCAGCCTGAGCAACATAACGAGACCTTGTCTCTACTAAAAAATAAATAAATACAAACAAAGTGTCTACAAATGTCACCCAGCCTTGCACCCCAGGAGCCATCCATTCATCTTGCCAATCCCCCAGAAATAAACTTTCCTATTCCTCATGTACGATTGTGCTGACTGGCCCCTCTCTTCAGAACCAGGAAACTGAGGCCCAACATTTAGGGCCAGGACTTCCTTGGGATTGCAGAACACAGAATCAGACCTTGGGCTCTCTGGGCTCTAACACTACTACAAAATATGTTTTTTTAAAATAGAGACAAGCTCTCACTACGTTGCCCAGGCTGGTCTCGAACTCTTGAGCTGAAGTGATTCTCCTACCTCGGCCTCCCAAAGTGCTAGGATTACAGGCATGAGCCACTGCTCCTGGCCTTGGGCTCTAACACTTGAAACAATGCTTGCCCTATTTCTGAGCAACTCAATGCTCACCAACCCCTATTCTCACACAGCCTTTACACTGGCAGGGTCTTATTCTCATCACTGCTCAGAGGTTTATTCCACTGTCCACAATCCATTATCCAAAAACAAAAAGCTCTGGAAACTGATGGTTTTCCCACAAGATAGGCACTATTTGGTTACAAAACCTGACCTGATCTAACGAGGAACAATTTTCTTTCTTCCTTTCTTTTTGTTTTTCCTTTTTTGGAGACAGGGTCTTGCTCTGTTGCCCAGGCAGGAGTGCAGTGGTCTGATCATGGTTCACTGCAGCCTTGAACTCCCAGGCTCAAGCAATCCTCCCACCTCAGCCTCCCGAGTAGTTGGGATTACAGGCACGTGCCACCATGCCTGGGCTAATTTTTTTCTTTTTTCTTTTTTTTTTTTTTTTTTGAGACGGAGTCTTGCTCTGTCGCCCAGGCTGGAGTGCAGTGGCGCAATCTTGGCTCACTACAACCTCCACCTCCCAGGTTCAAGCGATTCTCCTGCCTCAGCCTCCTGACTAGCTGGGATTATAGGCGAGCGCCACCACACCCGGTTCATTTTTTGTGTATTTTTAGTAGAGACGGGGTTTCACCATGTTGGACAGGCTGGTCTCGAACTCCTGACCTCGTGATCTGCCCACCTCGGCCTCCCAAACTGCTGGGATTATAGGCTTGAGCCACCGCGTCCGGCCGCCTGGGCTAATTTTTAAAATTATTTGTAGAGATGAGGTCTCACTGTGTTGCCGAGGTTGATCTCCAACTCTTGGGCTCAAGCGATCCTCCCACCTGAGGCTCCCAGAGTGTTGGGATTACTGGCATGAGCCACTGCGCCCAGCCGAGGAACACTTTTCAATCCTTACCCAGTTATTGTGAACGTTCATACCTTTTCTTGAAGAAATACCGTTTTTGTTGTTGTTGTTGTTTTTGAGACGTAGTTTCGCTCTTGTTGCCCAGACTGGAGTGCAATGGCATGATCTTGGCTCACCGCAACCTCTGCCTCCCGGGTTCAAGCGATTCTCCTGCCTCAGCCTTCCGAGTAGCTGGGATTACAGGCATGCGTCACCGTGCCCAGCTAATTTTTGTATTTTTAGTAGAGACGGTGTTTCTCCATGTTGGTCAGGCTGGTCTCGAACTCCCGACCTCAGGTGATCCACCCGCCTCGGCCTCCCAGTGTTGGGATTACAGGCGTGAGCCACCGCGCCTGGCCCTTTTTTTTTTTTTTTGTAACGCGGCAGCTCCAAACCCCGCTGAGAGTATATGCATGGGAAAACTTTCTGAAATCAAAAATATTCCGAATTCTGGCAACATACTGGGCCCCAAGTCTTTCGGATTTAACTCTGCCTCGGCCGTTTTATTCAGTTAAGGAAACTGAGTCACTCCATCCCAAAGCCAGATTCCCGCGGTTCTAAGCTGAAGCTGTCTCGGGTGCATTTGCATTCCAAAAAGGCGAAGGGTCCCGCTATTACTGCTCCTGGTACCTGGAGCTGCCAAGCACCCCTGCGATGGGGCGCCCCGGGGGCTGTGCGCCAGGCTGGGAGTATCCTTGGGGGGCGGGGCGAGGGGGCTTCCGGGGCGGCAGCCACCTGGCCCGGCTCCGGCCCCGCCCGCGTCAGCTCTGCGCGGTGATTCACTCCCTCCTTCGCCCCGGGGCCCCCTTCCCGGCCAGACGGCGGGCAAGACAGCTGGGTGTACAGCGTCCTCGAAACCACGAGCAAGTGAGCAGATCCTCCGAGGCACCAGGGACTCCAGCCCATGCCATGGCGGATTCTGAGCGCCTCTCGGCTCCTGGCTGCTGGGCCGCCTGCACCAACTTCTCGCGCACTCGAAAGGGAATCCTCCTGTTTGCTGAGATTGTGAGCGTTCTGGGGCAGGCGCGTGGGCAAAAGCGGGATGGGGTGGCTGGACCATGCGGAACTGGATGGTCCGGGTGAGGCAGGCACTTGGCCGGGGCGCTCGGCAGTGGGGTGCAGGTGGGTGGGTTCACGGTGGAGGCCCGAAACCCGGGGCGCAGGGCGAGTCGGTGGGGTTTGACGAAGGTTGTTGAGATCTGGTGGTCCCCGGGGTGAAGCAAGGAGCCTATAACGCATACGGAGGGCTACGTGGGGACAGCCTGCGTGAACTCATCAGTGGACGCATCGAAGGGGTCCCAGGGTGCTGGGAAGTGGGGGCCTCCTGTGGCAGGGCGTGGCGCGGCCTGGGCACAGGAGGGCGGGCTGGCAGCGCGCCCAGGGGCAGGGCCTGTTGGGGTGGGGCCCCCCCGCCCCGCGCTAGTCCCGCGGTGTAGAGCGCCCCGCCCTTCGCCAGTTCTTCCTCGCCCTTCAGAGGCCGGGCGGGATGTCCTTAGCTTTTCGGGGTTTCCACCCTTCTCAAAGTGGGCGCCGCCTTTGAGTCACTTGTAAAAGGGGTGCGGCGCCTTTAACGGAGTCCTGCCTCTCTGGTGTCACTCTCACCGCTTCCCAAAGGGGTTGCTGGGGGAACCGCGTGTTCCGCCCCGGTCAAGGCCACAAAGCTGGCGTCAGCGGGGCTCACAAAACACCTGGCAGCGCCACTCCCCTCAGGCTGCCCGTAACCTAGAAGGGAAAAGAGGAAACTGAGGCACCCAACTCTACTCCTTACTTGTTGGGTGACCCTGGCCAAGCCATTAAACCTCTCTGTGCCTCAGTTTTCTCGTCTATAAATTAGAAAGAGTAATAATAGTACCCAGAGCATTAGATTGTCGTGATGATTGAATTTGGAACACAGTGAGCACATAAAAAGTGTTTAGCTATTATTGTATGTCATTTCCCCAGCCCTCGTAGGCATCTTAGTATGGGACCCCCAATTTAAACCAATCTTCTCAGCCCTGGTTGCTGATTGAGGTCCCCTTTCCCATGTCACCCTTCCAGATATTATGCCTGGTGATCCTGATCTGCTTCAGTGCCTCCACACCAGGCTACTCCTCCCTGTCGGTGATTGAGATGATCCTTGCTGCTATTTTCTTTGTTGTCTACATGTGTGACCTGCACACCAAGATACCATTCATCAACTGGCCCTGGAGTGTGAGAAGGGGTCCACAATGGCAAGACCAGGGAGGGGTCTGGGCAGTTAGGATTGTCGGGGAACTGTGGTTGCTGACTTCCCTCTTCTCCTCCCTACACCTCACAGGATTTCTTCCGAACCCTCATAGCGGCAATCCTCTACCTGATCACCTCCATTGTTGTCCTTGTTGAGAGAGGAAACCACTCCAAAATCGTCGCAGGGGTAAAGGCCATGGGAGCAGCTCTGAAGCACAGAGCGAAGGGTTTGAGGAGCCAGGGACCATTTCTGCCTTTGCTTCTGGCAGAAATCGTGTGACCCACAGCAAGTCACACTTGTCCTCAGACATGGAGGAAAGTCTGGCCCAGGACTTGGTTTTGCCTCCCAAGGTCTTCATTTGCTGTGAAGGGAAGTCCCTTGTCAGACACAAGGACCTTGGTGAGAGGTACAAACAGGCGGCCCCTTTGTCAATGCACTAGACTACCATCTGCAAGAACTTTGTCCCAAATGTAGTAGAAATTGGGGCCGGGCGCAGTGGCTCATGCCTGTATTCCCAGCACTTTGGGAGGCTGAGGCCGAGGCAGGCAGATCACTTGAGGTCAGGAGTTCAAGACCAGCCTGGCCAACATGGCGAAACCCCATCTCCACTAAAAATACAAAAATCAGCCGGGCATGGTGGTGGGCGCCTATAGTCCCAGCTACTCAGGAGGCTGAGGCAGGAGAATCACTTGAACCCAGAAGACAAAGGTTGCAGTGAGCCAAGATCATGCCACTCACTCCAGCCCCAGTGACAGATGGGTGACAGAGTGATACTGTGTCTCAAAAAAAAAAAAAGTATGACTTGAATTGTGCCCCCTACGGGTAGGGCCACAGTGTGGCCTCCCTGTGTTGAGAGGTATAGGAGGAGGGAGAGTGGGGTAGGATGCACTCTCTTGGCCTTTCCCTGGCTTACCAACCCGGTGCTTGAGTCCCATCCTGCGTGGGGCAGGTGCTGGAGGTGGTGGATACAAGAAGATAAGAGACTGAGTAACCTGACCAGCTAATCTAAACCCCCTCACTCCTATCCTGTCCCCCAGGTACTGGGCCTAATCGCTACGTGCCTCTTTGGCTATGATGCCTATGTCACCTTCCCCGTTCGGCAGCCAAGACATACAGCAGCCCCCACTGGTAAGTGTGTGTGTGTGTTGGTTGGGGGTAAGGGGGTTGCTGAGAGGGCAGAGGGAAAAAGGAAAGGGATCTCTTAAAGGCACGAATGCCAACTCTGGTCTCGTATTGGTACTTAGGGCTTTTGTACCAATAGGTACCATAAGCTTCGGTATTCTTGTGTGTAAAATGTTCATGGACTTTGGATCTTGTTTTAAAAAATGGGCATATAGATTCAGCCAATGCTTTCTCTCTTTTCCTCACCTGCAGACCCCGCAGATGGCCCGGTGTAGGCGAACTTCCCTCATTTCTCTCTGCAATCTGCAAATAACTCCTCCATTGAAATAACTCCTCCCCACCCCAACAACAACATTCCCAGCAGACCAACTCCCACCCCCTCTTTGAGGTAAAAGTGCCTTTATTGGGAGACTTTTGTCTTCCAGCCTGCCAATCAACCCTCCTGGGTGTGGCCACCATATGTGTGTGCCTAGGTCCTCCTTCTGCACGATCCAATAGGAGACACCAGTTCTGACTGAACCATGCCCCCACCTAAGTCACAAAATGAGGGAAGTGGGGAGTTAGATTTCAGAGTCCAGGCCCTAGGTTGGGACCCACTCCAAATAATCTCCTCGGTGTGGGTGGTGGTTCTATAGAGGGATAAATGAATAATAAACATTGTTAAAATATACGATAATGAATAAAGTAATCCTTTCATCAAATGTGGGTAAATTTCAAGCATCAGGAGGGGGAAATGGAGTGGAAACAGCTGGGGCAAGGAGGCAAAGAAGCCAGGCCTGTTTTACAACAAATATTAAATTACTTCAATAATACAAACGAGAGGCCCGGTGCGGTGGCTCATGCCTGTAATCCCAGTCCTTTGGGAGGCTGCGGGAGGATTGCTTGAGCCCAGGAGTTCTAGACCAGCCTGGGCAACATGGCAAAACCCCATCTCTACCAAAAAATTAAAAAATTAGCTGGGAACGCTGACACGAGCCTGGAGTCCCAGCTACTTGGGAGGCTGAGGTGGGAGGATAGCTTGAGCCCAAAACTTTTGAGGCTGCAGTGAGCCCTGATCACACCACTGCACTCCAGCCTGGGCAATAGGGTAGACCAAGTCTCTAAAACAGAAACAAAAATAGAAACAAACTGATAAAGGAGGGAGGAAGAGGATTTATGACTTAGGTTGTAGGGGCGGGGCGTGGGGGTGAGGGGCATGGGCCTCATCATCTACTCTGACTGGAGAATGGAGCCCCCTCCAGGACGGCCTGCCTTCAAGCCACGATGCAGTTCTTGTCTCGGGCCTGACGAGGCATCCCTGCGCGAGAGTCCCTGGGGAGCGATAAAGATGGGGAGTTGAAGGTCTCCATTGCAGTGTCCTGAGCAGGCATGGGCCTGCACAAATGCGGGGGCAGAGGGATGCGCTCTCCTAGGAAGAAGCCATCATCCTCTGATGATTCGGAACTGGAACTGGAGGGCGAGCTGGAGCAAGATTCCGAGTCTGACCCTGATCCCGCGTCACATTGATAGTGGCGACGTCTGCTTGGGTGGCGGTTGTGATGGTGATGGTGATTATGATGATGGTGGCGGCGACGGCTGGGGGCCCTGGGTGGGGGACTGCGTGGCCTGCGGCGCTGGGCCGGGGGTGCACTCAGGGTCCGGCGCGGGCCTCCTTCAGACACCAGAGGGTCGCGGAAGCTGACGCGTGGGGTGCTCTGACGACCGAAGGCACTATCATCTGGGCGCAGGTTAGGCTGGCCGGGGGACTCTGGGGGCGGCTCGGGGACACTGCGGAGCCCCAGTTCCGGCATGGAGTGGCGGTGGGGAGCCCCTCTCAGAAAGCGGGAGGGCTCCTCAGGGCCTGTAGCTGTTAAGGGGGAGACAGAGTGACTCCTTGTATCTGCCCTCCCACTGGCCCCCTCCTAAGAGGAGGCCTGCGGAAGGGCCTTCTTTCCTCCACTAAGACTGGGAAAGTGGGGGCAGGGGTCGGAGAATGGCAGGGAGGTGGGAAGTCTGGGAAGTGTGAGGCCTGGAGCAGGCTCTGGGTGTTGAGAGGGTTGGAAGGAAGAACACGGAGCAAGATGGGACTGGTGTGGGGGGCGTGGCCAGGGCACCCGGGGTGGCTTCGGATGGAAGAGGTGTGGCATAGGCTGGAGTAGATTTGGTTTGCAATAAAAGGGGTGGGGCCTGACTGCAGAGGATGAAGGGTGACCGGCTGGAGAAGAGGAAGAGGAACTTGGGGTCAAGCAGAGACAAGTTGAGGTAGGGGACCAGCCCTGTATTGACAGGGTGGAACCAGGGTTCATGAGGCGGGTGTAGTTTGGGATGGAAACCAGGCCTGGACTGGTGTGGGGAAGGAGGATGAGCTGAGAAATGGGCGGGGCCCAGGGATACAGCAGGTGAAGGGCCTGGGCTAGTCAAGAAGGAAGGGCCAGGGCTGAGGCAGGGGCAAGGACATAGGGGTGACTGGGCTGTGGCTGGGTGTGGCTAGAGGGTTAGCTCACCTGGCGCTAACTCTGTGCTGGTGCCTTTGGTGGTGGTCTCTGATGCCCCCTTCACAGCAGAGAAAGAGGCTGTGGAGGCTGCAAGTGGGGCTGTGACAGGGCCGGCACTCCAGCTGCGGCGGCTCGGCCCTGGAGCTGTGGGCTCGGACCCAAGGCTGCAGGCTCGAGAGCAGAAGATTAGGCCTCGGCGTGGCAGGAATGGGCGGCCCAGCAGGGCCCGCCCACAGCGACTACAGCAGAAGCAGCGGTCTGAGGCATGCCAGTGCTGGCCCTCGTAAGCCATCTGGCCTTGGTCCAGGCCTGTGGGGAACGACGAGGGGGAAAAACTGAGGCAGAACCCCCAGGCGTAACCCCACCCCTCGTGAACGAGTCCCTTCTCAAGAAGAGGTGGGGAATCCGAGGCAGGGCACCCCTGGGTGCCTTCCTCCCTCCTCCAGAATGGGGCCCTTTTGGAGAAAGCAGGAAACAGGTTTTGGTTCTCTCCTGGAGACTGGCTGGTGAACCTCTCTCTCACTCCTCCCTTTCTTTCCCAGGGTGCTCTCTCCCAGAGCGGGGTGGGCATTGGACTCTAAGATTCGGGCCAGGCTTAGACATTAGGGGGTGGCTCCAAGTGGAAGGAGAATGGAAAGCTGGGCCTGAAGAGGAGGCCTGGCTGGTGGGGGCAGGGCTTAGCAGGTGGGGAGTGGCCCTGTTGAGAAAGGAGTGGTTCTCAGAGGATAGGGTGTAGCTAGAAGCTAGGCCTGACTTAGGCTGATACAGGAGAGTGGAGGAGAACGGGGCACAGCTTGGGGTGGTAGAGGCTAGGAGTAGGGCGAGCCCTGGGGCTGGAATTAGAGCACCCTCTGGAGGTGGGTGTAGACATGTGGTGGTGGCCTAGCATTGTGTTAGGTGGGGTTTAGAAAGCATGGCATAGTGGGGACATTGGGAGTGGGACTTGCAACCAAGCGTACAGGTCTATAGTGTTGGGGCTGGACAAAGTACAGGGCACAATGGAGGATGGGGCCTGGAGGACAGGAGGAGTCCTGGTGGGGTAGGACTGTGGCCCAGCTGTCCATCCATCCCTCTGTCCAGTCCCACAGCATTCACCCACCGATGTGCTCCCCACAGCCATCACAGTACTCCGCGTGGCGGGCCTCGTAGCAGGCGCAGCAGTGGGGGCGGCTCTGACGCATGACATAGCGCTGCCCTCCTAGTGAAGCTTCACACTCAAAGCAGCAGAAGTGATCCATGTGCCAGTGGCGGCCCTCAGCCTCCGTGCACTCAGGGGAGAAGATGATCTGGAGGGCGCAGGCCATCTGTGGCTGTCAGATGAGCCTGCTCCTGGCCCTGCCCACCCTCAACTCCCACCCCTGGGCAGGGAGGCCCAAACCTCGTCACAGGCTTGGCAGCGTGGACGCAGGCATTCGGCATGGTGACGCCCGCAGTAGACCTTGCCAACATGGTAGAAGTAGATGAGGTCAACCAGCAGTTCCTGGCACGTGGTACACACGAAGCACTGTGGGTGCCAGCAGGCACCCAGGCCTGCACGGCTGGCAAACACTGCGATGTCCCCACCTCCAATCTGCTTTCCGCACTGCCATGAGACAAGCACCAAGATGGTTACCATCACTGTCACCAAGATGGTCAGATGGATGGGGTCAGCCAAAGTATGTTACACTTGGGCCTTTCCCACAGTGAAACTTTGTGATCAGCCCCACCCATGGGGTAACTTTGACACAGGCCCTGCCTATACCAGGGATGGGGTTGGGCGGTACCTTAGAGACTGACCCTGCTCATGAGGGAAGCCGTAGAGACAGGCCCTACCCATGGTGGGTGGCCTTATAGGCAAGCCTCCCTCATCAGGGGTGGGGAAGACAGACAGGCCAGGCCTAGTGGGGGAAACCACAGAGATAGTCTCCACCCACCGGGACCTTAGCAATAGATCTCACCTAACAGTAGGATCTAAGGACAGGCCCTGCTTACCACTGGGCCCTGCAGACAGGCCCTGCCACTGTGGGTCAGCTCTTGAGGACAAGTTCTGACCACAGGAGGACCAAAGAGATAGCCCATGCCCCATGTCCACTGCACAGACGGGGAGAAAAACACACTAAGGCCTCCTTACAGACAAACCCCACACGACAGTGGGATTGATGGGACAGGTCCCTGTCCACCAGGGGTTGCCTTAGAGACAGTCCCTGCCCAACAGTGAGATGTGAGGAACAGACCCCGCCCACAAGAGGGGACCCTAGAGACACCTCACTGGGGCTTAAGTGGCAGGCCTCATCTTCCCAGTGCTTGGAAGATGTGTCCTGCTCCCCAGGGCTTGGAGCAGAGGCACTGCTCACTCGCTGAGGCCCTCCACGGCTCACCTCCTCACAGATGGCCCCAGTGATGGTCACCGGGAAGATGCGCACGATGCCACGCCCCAGATTCTCCCGCTTCCGCTGCTGGCTAAAGGCTCGGAGCTCTTTCTTTTCCTCCTCTTCCAGTGCTGTGCAGTACTGTGCCTGGGAGGAGAAGGCATCTCCCAGGCTCCTCCCTTGATGCCTGTCCCTGCCCCTCTTCCAGACTTCATCCATGCCCCGAAAGTTTACTTCTAGGTCTTTCTATAGATGGTGCCTCCTGCCTGAAGTAACCACCTCTTCTTCCAAGGCCCAGCTGTGGTTTTGCCAAGGAATGTCCCCTGATGACCCCTGCCTGTCTGGACCACTCACCTCAGATCAGCTCACCTTTCCTCCTCTGACCCTGCCCTGCATTGGCCCAGGCTGTGTGCTGTGCCTGGCATGCCCTTCCTGTCTTCTCTCTCCTCACCTCACTGTCGTGTGGGGGCAGCTGGTGCAGCAGCTGCTTGATCCTGTATTTCTCCCCAGGACTGTTGACGTAGGGGACCTTGTCCTCTGGGAGGCAGCTGAAAAATTGATATACCTGGGAGGACATAGGAGTGGGAGAAAACAACTGAAATGAGAGGTGAGTTGGGATGCAGTGAGATGGCGGGTCCCCATTTCTCAGAAAATGAAAGGCATTAGGAGGGACCTTCTGACTCCCTCATCTCTCCTTCCTAAAGGCGGATCATTTCCCTCAGCTCCCAGCTCCCAAACACGCTGAGGGTTCCTGCATGTATTGACCTCACTTCCTCCTCCAGCTGCTGATCACCTTTTTTTTTTTTTTTTTTTTTTGAGACGGAATCTTTCTCTGTTGCCCAAGCTGGAGTGGCGCGATCTAGGCTCACTGCAACCTCCGCCTCCTGGGTTCAAGCGATTCTCCTGCCTCAGCCTCCTGAGTAGCTGGGATTACAGGCATACCACTATGCCCAGCTAATTTTTTATTTTTAGTAGAGACAGGGTTTCACCATGTTGGCCAGGCTGGTCTCGAACTCCTGACCTCAAGTGATCCGCCTGCCTTGGCCTCCCAAAGTGCTGGGATTACAGGTGTGAGCCACCGCGCCCAGTCTACTGATCCACTTTTCTTTTTCCCTTTACAGGAAAATTCCTCAAAAAGTTATGAGCACTTGTGTTCACTCCACTTCCTGTCCTTCCAATCTCTCTTGAGCCTACTTGAGGCAGGCTTCCGCTCCCATCCCTCTTCCAAAGCTGTCAAGGTCATCCATGACTTCCCCATTGTTAAAATCATTGTTCAGGTCTCAGTCGTCATCAGACTTGATGATGGTAGCACTGCACCGAGCTGACCACTCTCTCTTCCTGGAAACACTTTCTTCCCTTGGCTTCCAGGACACCACACAGTCCAGGTTTTCCTTCCACCTTATTGGCTGCTCCTTCTTTGTCCCTGTTTTGGCTCCTCCTCAACTAGCTGACCCCTAAATGCAGGAGGATCCTAGGACTCAGCTCTTGGTCCTCTTGCCTCTGTCTACATTCAATTTCTTGGGAATTACATTCAACCTTATGGCTGTAAATATCATCTACTTGGCTGGCTAATGTGTCACCTCCAGCCTGTGACACATAATGACAAACACATACGTCCAGCTCTGTAACTTATCCCTTGAGTTCCAGGCAATGTGGCTATTTAGATGTCTAACAGGCATCTCAAACTCCAGATGGCCACAACCAAACTTATGCTCTTACCCCTCAAACTGCTCCTGTCTTGGCCTCTCCCACATCAGTTAATCTACCTATCCTCAGGGTCATCTTTCACTCCTCTTTCTCCCACCCCCACAAGCAAATCCTCTGAGTGCTACTTCCAAAATATAGGCTGGGTGCTGTGGATCACACCTGTAATCCCAGCACTTTAGGAGGCCCAGAGGGGAAGATAGCTTGAGCCCAGGAGTCCAAGACCACCCTGGGCAACATGGCAAAACCCCATCTCTACAAAAAATACAAAAATCATCCAGGCGTGATGATGCGTGCCTGTAGTCCCAGCTACTTGGGAGGCTGAGGTGGGAGGATCACTTGAGCTCAGGAAGTTGAGGCTGCAGTGAGCTGTGATTGAGCCACTGCACTCAAACCTGGGAGACAGAGTGAGACCCCCCCCCATATATATATATGTGTGTGTGTATATATATATATATATATACACGTATAATTATTATACGTATATTATTTACGTAAATTATATACGTAAAATAATTATTTTATATATATGTATATAGATGTATACATATGTGTATATATATGTGTATATATACGTATATATGTGTATATATATACGTATATGTGTATATATATACACGTATATATACGTATATATATACGCGTGTATCTATATACGTATATATATATGTGTATATATATATACACACACATATATATATATTAAATAATTATTTATTAAACGGAATTTTGCTCTTGTTGCCCAGGCTGCAGTGCAATGGCATGATCTGGGCTCACCGAAACCTCCGCCTCCCGGGTTCAAGCGCTTCTCCTGCTTCAGCCTTCCAAGTAGCTGGGATTACAGGCATGTGCCACCACGCCTGGCTAATTTTTTTGTATTTTTAGTAGAGACGGGGTTTCTCCATGTTGGTCAGGCTGGTCTCAAACTCCCGACCTCAGGCGATCTGCCTGCCTAGGCTTCCCAAAGTGGTGGGATTACAGGCGTGAACCACTGCACCCAGCCTATTTTTTTTTTTTTTGAGACAGGGTCTTGCTCTGTCGCCCAGGCTGGAGTGCAGTGGTGCAATCTCAGCTCACTGCAACCTCTGCCTCCTGGGTTCAAGGAATTCTTGTGGCTCAGCCTCCCGAGTAGCTGGGATTACAGACATTTGCCACCATGCCAGACTAATTTTTGTATTTTTAGTAGAGATGGGGTTTCACTATGTTGGCCAGGCTGGTCTCAAACTCCTGACCTCAAGTGATCCACTCGCCTCGGCCTCCCAAAGTGCTGGGATTACAGGTGTGAGCCACCATGCCGGCCTTTCTGTCTGTCTGTCTGTCTCTCTCTCCATATATATATAACTCCTTGCACTGCCAGTGCCATCATCATCAGGTTCCTCACTGGTCTCCTGATTCCACCCTTATTCCTCCAGGCTGTCTTCTGCTGACAACCCTCTTGCGACTTCCCTTCATTCACAGGCAAAGCCAAAGTCCTCTCCATAGCCCCTGCCACATCTCTGACCTCATCTCCAGCTGGTCTCCCCCTTGCTCACTCTGCGCCAGCAGCACTGGCCTTGCCATCCCTTACATATGCCAAGCACACGCCTGCCTCAGGGCCTTGGCATTAGCCATGCCCTTTGCCTGTGTGAATCGCTGTAACCTTAGATGTCTGCATGGCTCACTTCTCACCTCCTTTCGGGCAGCTCAACCATTAAATTCTCACAGAGGCTTATTCTGGGCACCCTATTTACAATTCTAGCATCTCTCTCCTTCCCTCTCTCTTTCTTCACCCCACCTTCCTTGCTTTTTAATTCCATAGCCCTTACACCATCTGACATATATTTACAGGTTTGCTTATTGGGTGTTCCTCCTTTCCAGAATCTACCCTCTGCCTGGGCAGATTTTTTTTTTTTTTTTTTTGAGAAGTATCACTCTGTTGCCCAGGCTGGAGTGCAGTGGCACGATCTCAGCTCACTGCAACCTCCGCTTCCTGGGTTCAAACAATTCTCCTGCCTCAGCCTCCTGAGTAGCTAGGATTACAGGTGTGCACCACCACACCTGGCTAATTTTTGTACTTTTAGTAGAGACGGGGTTTTGCCATGTTGGCCAGGTTGGTCTCAAACTCCTGACCTCAAGTAATCCGCCCGCCTCAGCCTCCCGAAGTGCTGGGATTACAGGCGTGAGCCACCGTGCCCGTGGGCAGATATGTTATTTTGTGTTTTGCTCATTGCTGTGTCCTCAGTGCCTAGAACAGTGTCTCACATGCAGTAGGTGCCCCATAACTATGTGTTGAATGAGTCAATCAATGAAGTCATGTGGTGAATGAAGTGCTGGGAGGGTAGAATAGGGAGTGGGGCCACGCATGGTGGCTTGCTCTTGTAATCCCAGCACTTTGGGAGGCCGAGGCAGGATCACTTGAGCCCAGGAGTTCAACATCAGCCTGGGCAACATAGGGAGACCCTGTCTCTACAAAAAAATTTTAAAAATAGCCAGGCAGGGTGGCATGCACCTGCAGTCCCAGCTACAAGGGAGGCTGTGGTGGGCAACAGAGTGAGACCCTGTCTCAAAAACAATCAATCAAAAATAATAGGATTGGGGTGAACAGGCCCTGAGGAACTGGTCCCTCAGTCACCCAAGGTATGGGGGGCTGACCACTCTTCCATCACAGAGGGGCCAGAAGGACCCTCGGTCTGACTGCACACTCTAGCGTAGCCCCAGAAATAGGTTCCCACCTGAGTGTGTGTGTGTGTGTGTGAGCATTAGTGTGCACCCACTGGACAGCAAGAGTGGAGGGCTGGCCTCTGGTCACCTGCTCCGGCTTAAGGCCTGGGGGCACCCAGGCATACTCCTCCGATGCACAGCCTGAGTCGTCGTCGGAGATGGAGTGGCGCTGGAAGTCCGAGATTAGCCGACACATGATGCGTTCCAGGTCCACAGGCACCGCGTGCACTGCATGCTCCTCCCGCGGGCATTTGCAATGCTGGCAGATCTTTCTGAGGGGGCCGGGATGGGGGTCAATTACTAAGGAGTTGCCCACCCGAACCCCTCGGCAGCCCAGGTCCAATGGAGGAGCGGGGACATACAGATTATCACCACCAAAGGTCTGTGAGCAGGGACAGGGATCTGGGCCTGGGGGCAGGGCTGCAGGAGGTGGGCCTATGAGCCAGGGTGTGGCTGGGCTGTGAGCCAGAGGACAGGTCGTGGGGAGTGGGATGCTTTGTGGGGGAACTTTCACTAGACACAGGCATCTAACCTGTGGTGAGGCTCTGAACTTGTGGGCTCTGAGCCTGTGGGTAGGGCCTGAGTCTGGGGGCTGTAGGCTCTGTTTATTGGGTGCAGGGCTCCAGCAGGAGGATAGGACGCTGGGCCTGGGAGAGTAGGTCTGAGTCTAAGAGGGGTGCTGGAGGCCAGAGGGCGGCGCTCAGAGTTAGAGACGAAGAATCTCCCTAGGGATGCGACTCCGCGGCTACGGGAGAACACTTCTGGGGGCGGGGCTGCGTAGTGGGTGGAGCTCTCCTGGGAAAGGACTTTGGGGAATGAGTCAGGGGGCGGGGCTCTGAATCTGAGCCTGAGGCTCTTTTCCCAACTGAGATCCCTCTGTAGGCGGAGCTCAAGCGTAGGGGCGTGGCGTAAGGCTCCTGGATTTCCCCCCGAAGGCGGAGCTCTGACAAAGGCGAGGCCCTTTAGGGGCGCCACTTACCTCCAGCCGTGGAGCAGGAAGCCAGGGCACTGCTCCCTACAGGAGTTGCAGGGCTGGCCCCGGTCTGGGTCCTCTGCCTCTGGAGGCTGCAGTGGGCGGGGGCAGATGCAGGGCCGGGTGAGGCGCGGAAGCAGGGAAGGAGAAGTCAACGCCCGCCCCTCCACTTCATTGCCCGCGACCGCACGCTGGGGCCTGTCTTACCTGGGCAGCGCTGGGCAGGCTGGGACAGCGCCCAGAGTGCGGGGGAGCGGGACACAACCGAGGCAGAGGCGGGGCAGTTGGAGCCACCTCCTTATATGTCCCCTTTTCAGGGAATTCCCCTTCCTAGGCTGGCCTCGGACCCCCCTCCCCGTCCGCCCCTAGCCTCAGACACCTCCCACCAGCCTTAGATCCTTCCAGGGCTCAAGCACCTCCCCTATAATTCATTGTACTCTCCCCACTAGAGCACAGAACCCCTACTCTGGGCATCCTCTCCCCGGCCTCATCCCGGTTCCCTCTCCATCTACGCCGCCAGCAGCACTCCAGTTCCACAGGGTAGGAGACGAGACCGCATTCTTCCTTGAGATCCCCACGTGAACCCTGCCCCTCTCTTCAGAAGCTCAGGAGCTCCTCCCCTAAACCCTGGCCTCATGCCCTGATACCCAAGGAACTGGGGACCCTCCCCAGGATCTCAGGAGGCCCCTGCTCCATTCAGAAACCCCCATCCCAAGAAACCTTGGCCTTTACCCATCCCATCCTAGGGCTATTTATTCCTTCTCCGGACCATCAAACCCAGACCCCACATTCCCAGGTCAGAGACCCACTCCAAAGGAAGTGAAAGAACCTCCTATCTAAGAAGTCAAAAACTCCCTTGCTCAGGCGGAACCCTGGAAGCCTTGTCCCCCCAAATCCCAGTCTCTTGACTCTCAGCATTTCGGCATCCCAGGAGTGTAGGACTCCATCCCTCCGTGCACATTCCTCCAAGGTACTGTGTCCTTTAGAAGCTGAGGAGGTCGGCCAGGCTCGGTGGCTCACGCCTATAATCCCAGCACTTTGGGAGGCCGAGGTGGGCGGATCACCTGAGGTCAGGAGTTCGAGACCAGCCTGGCCAACATGGTGAAACCTTGTCTCTACTAAAAATACAAAAATTAGGCGGGCGCGGTGGCGGGCGTCTGTAATCCCAGGTACATGGGAGGCTGAAGCAGGAGAATCGCTTGAACCCAGGAGGCGGAGGTTGCAGTGAGCGGAGATAGCGCCACTGCACTCCAGCCTGGGTGACAGAGATTCAGTCTCAAAAAAAAAAAAAAAAAAAAAAAGCAGCAGCTCAGGAGGTTCCTGCTCAACCTAAGGCTTCAAGACCCAGTTCTCTGGCCCTCAGGATTCCCTCCCACAATTCATAAGAGAGGGGTCCCCACCAGGTCCCAGGAGTGCTGATGAAAGTGTGTGGAGAGGTGATTAGGGGGTTTGGGCCACCAGATCTACACCTTCCTCCATCCATTCGCCTCCAGCAGCCCCAGCCCCAGGTCTGGGAATGCAGGGGATGGGATTCCCAGATCCTCTGTGGGGCACCTATTCGCTATGCCTATCCATTGCCCCCTTGCCTGGGCCTCAGTTTACCCCCGACCCCCACCGCTGCCCTGACTCCCGCTCACCGCACGCCCGGAGCGGCGCCTCCGGGACCCACGCGCGAACATGGCGCGCCCGGGCAGGGTCAAGCCGGGCCGGGTCAGGCGAATGTAATCCTTGCGACCGTCAGGCCACCGCGCGTCCGGCCTGGGAACTCGGTTCCGTAAACCTGACACCCTCGTGGGAGGAGCGCGCCCCGCAGGGCCCGCCCCCGGGCATGTGGTCTCTCCGCTGCCAGGGCGCCCCCTGCCTAGAGGTGAACTGCACGTAGCCCGGAGTGCCCCGCGGGAAAGGCCTCTGCCCTCCCGCTCCGGGCCGGTGCGGGGCGTCACAAGGCACGACCCCCAGAATCCCGGCGTGCCACGTGGCCTCTCACGGGACCTGGGGCTTGAAGGTTCTGTAGTGGAGGATGGGGAGACTCAGAGGTGGCCAACTGGACTGAGAGGGGTGGCGCGCTAGGGTGCTTGTGTTGACGTTTTGTGTCGATTTATTTCGGATGCTTATTTGGGAGAGGGGTTAAAGACACCTCTTGGCTCCTCCCCACTGGTGAGGTTCCGAGGGTCTCCCCGATGAATGCTGCAACAATGGGCCCCAACCTCACCCGCAGCCCCAGCTGGTGCTCGCTGGGAACCTGGGAACCTGGCCCTAGCCACCAGAGAGCTAGATCTTATACGCACTCCTCCCTTCTCATTCCCCTCTCAGCGAGGCCAGGTTCCAAAGCCCTCGTCCCCTCTCTCCCCTCATCCTTATAAGCCTAGCTGTCCAGCCCCGTCCCCCCACCCCAAGTCTTGAGAAGTAGATCTTAAAGCCTTCCCTCCCCCACCCACATTTTTCTCTCTCCAGTTATCCCCTTCCCCAGCTCAGTTCCAGGGCGGGGAGCCTCTCCTTCACGCTCTCAGGCTTGGCTGTGCCTCCGGGCTGGGGGGAGGGGGTCCCATGGCCTCAGTCAGAACTCGGCCCGGGTCTCTATGCACGGAGACTGCAGCGGCCAGGCCCTTCATCGCGGGCCCCGGGGACCTCTCCCCGCCCCCCATTACACATGTCCCTGTCACTTCCCGTGGAGTGGAGAGGTAAAAGAGAATAACTAATGAACTAAGGAGTCACCCCGGCGCCCCACCTCCCCTCCTTGCCTAACCTGTCTCCCATTTCTCCAGCCTGGGCGGAGGCAGGGAAAGGAGAGACAGTAGGGTCTGAAGATTAGGGATGGGGTCAGGCAATGTGAGGTTTCCTCCTATTCGGACCCCTTGGGGATTTGAGGAGAGGGTTCCACAGGGGCTCGGAAGAGGCTTGGCTAAGGGACCAGAATTAGAACCAACTCCTAGAAAGACCGGGCATTTGGTGGCCAGTAGTGGGAGGGTGAGCAGGGCTACTCAGAGAGTGACAGAGTGATTGGCAGGAGAGGCTTCCCAGAGGATGCTGCTCTGCCTAACACTTTTGAAGGGGCCTGAAATGGTGCAGCAAGCTGAACTGCGGTCGGTGGGTCCGGGTGGAGCTTGTTCTCACCACCTCTCCCTCCTTTCTCCCCCGGCCAACCTCCTCCCCGGCGCCCGAAAAAGACACACTGAGAAATCAGAGCCGGGTAGACTAGGTGGTTAAGGAGTTTATTTGGGAGAGGAGAATCATATTTGTTCTTCCTTGGGGAGGGGGGTTCTTTGAACAATACCGAAGGGTTTGGGAAAGGGTAGGGGTCTGGAGGGGAGAAGGAGGGGCCACAGCCAGACAAAATGGCAACACACGATCACAGGCACTACTGACATCACAGACATAGCAGAGGGTGCAGGATAGGGGCTCCAGACCAGGCCTCCAACCACCCCAGGACGGGTGGAGGTGTGGAGGGAGGGAGGGCGCAGGGGAAGGGGGAAGAGGGGTGGGCCAGTCCCACAGACCCGTTGGTTCTGTCCTCCTATTAACCTAGCTGTTTCATCACGGGAGTGGGGAAGGGTGTGTGTGGTGGGGTGCTTCTCTCTGGATCCCACGCCTCACCCTACAAGCCATATCACTCGACTCTTCTCAGGCCACTTCCGTCCCAAGTCGTAGCCAGAGCCATTCTCCCCCACCCCTAACAAAACCCATCTGGAAGCTCCTATCCAAGTCCCCTCTCCACTGCCCAAACCCAGCCATTGTAAAACATTTTCTTCACTGCACCATGGGGAGGGGCTGCCCTTTCTGAAACCACCATGGAAGCCCCATTCTAAGCCCCACCCTGTCTGGAACCCTGGCTTGGCCCATTCCTGAATCCCACTTCTTGCCTTGCTCAAGATCTGTCCCCTTTAGAATCAAGCTCAGTCTCCCAAATGTTCCAAGCCACACCCTTTCCATAGGCTCTGGTACCAATCCAAGACCCACCTACTCTGGAGCCCACCATTCTGCCTCGCTTAAAGCCTCGCCCCTTCTAGAACCCTGCCCTCAGCGCCCTTCCAAGCCCCACCCCAGAATGCTCTAGCGCACTCCTCTCCTTCAGACTCCAGATCCACTCTGTCTGGAACCCAACCCCCCTGCTGACCCCTCCACTCCACACCTCCTCTCCAAGACCACCTTGGGTCCTAAACTGTCCTCTCTACCCCAAGCCCCCCCAATCTCTGCCTTTCTTTAACCCTGGAGTTGGATTTCCCTAACGGCCTTTGTTCAGGCAGGCATTGCTGGAGGAACCAAGGCCAGAGTTGGGAGGAGTGGAGGGAGAGAGAGGAGAGAGTCTGAAGTCACGCCCACCCTCCCCACACAGCCGAGGTCTGTTCCCTCCCTGTCCTCCTTTTAGATCCCCTTAACCTCAGGGGACAGGGAGGGTAAACAGAGAGGGGCCAAGGGATGCAGGGAAAGGGACGGGGTAAGAGAGGGGGCCCACTCAAGACTGGGCACCTAGTGGATGAGGGGAGTGGAGTGAGGGCAGGGCTCAGACAGATAAATAGATATTTATATATAATATATATATATATAAACAGCAAAGACAGGGTCTCCTGGCTTGAGGGGTGGAGACCTAGGGTATAGGGGTGGGAAGGGGGGCAGGCCTTCTCCTGAGCTCTTGCCCCCCCCAGGTCCTCCTGGGCTTCACTGACCTGTAGAGACAAAAGACACAGAAAGGAGAGGGGGTCTGACATGGGTGGCGCCCTCAGATAGGGGTTGGGCTGTTATGCCTTTGTCCTGGCTTTATGTCTTTTCTTCTTTCCTGGAGCCAGCTTCATCCCAGCTGCCTCTGCTGAGAAGATATACCTGACCTTGCCCCCACTGGGTTAGGTACCAAAGAGATTACAGTCTCCTTCCTCCAACCAAAAAAATAGTCCCTTAACAGGTACTGTTCTAGCCATTTGTGATAAACTATATTGAGCAAAACAAAGATCCCTGTCTTTGTGGAGCTTATACTGAAGCAGAGATAGACTTCACACAGCGAACATGATGCATGAGTGGATTATCTCGTATAACATAGGGTGACAATAATAAGTGAAATGGAAAAAATAAAGTGAGCTGGGCATGGTCGCTCACACTTATAGTCTCAGCTACTTGGGAGGCTGAGGTGGGAGGATCACCTGAGCCCAGGAGTTCAAGTCTAGCATTCCTAAAGTGCTAGGATTACAGGCGTGAGCTACCACGCCCAGCCTGCGACAGGGCAGAGTTCTGACACAGGAGGACTGTGGCCTAATTTAGGATTTAACAGAATCCCTCCAGATGCTGTGAGTAGAACAGAATGGAAATGGAGACCTGAGAAGAGGTCTGGGAGAGATGACAGTGGAAGATGAAGGATATATTTTTTGAAGGTAGGACCCACAGGATTTTTTGATGAATTAGATGTGGGATGCCCTTTCCATCCTGGCTAACCCAGTGTCAGAAGCTACCTCCATCCAAGTATTGCCACCTTCTTGCCTTCCCCCACTTTTTAGCCACCCCTTAGCCTTTTCCTCCTGCCTTTCCTCCCCTATATCCTCCCTCCTATCTGAGGGAAATCTCACTTCTCTTTTTCTTTTTTTTTTTGTTTTGAGACAGAGTCTCGCTCTGTTGCCCAGGCTGGAGTGCAGTGGCGCAATCTCGACTCACTGGAACCTCCGCCTCCCAGATTCAAGCGATTCTCCTGCCTCAGCCTCCAGAGTAGCTGGAACTACAGACGTGCGCCACCATGCCCGGCTAATTTTTATATGTTTAGTAGAGACGGGGTTTCACCGTGTTGGCCAGGCTAGTCTCGAACTCCTGACCTCAGGTGATCTGCCCACCTTGGTCTCCCAAAGTGCTGGGATTACAGGCATGAGCCACCTCACCTGGCCTCTTTTCTTTCTTTCTTTTTTTCTTCCTTTCTTTCTTTCCATTTTTTTTTTTTTTTTGAGACAAGGTCTCGCTCTGTTGCCCAGGCTGGAGTGCAGTGGCAGGATCATAGCTCACGGCAGCCTCAACCTCCTGGGCTTAAGTGATCCTCCCACTTCAGCCTCCTGAGTAGATGGGTCCACAGATGCATGCCACCACGCCCGGCTAATTTTTGTATTTTTTGTAGAGGTGGGATTTCATCATGTTGCCCAGGCTGGTCTCGAACTCTTGGGCTCAAGCGGCCCGCCCGCCTCGGTCTCCCAAAGTGCTGAGATTACAGGCATGAGCCACCAAGCCCCGACCCTCACTTCTCTTTTAAGGCCCAGCAAGAAGGCCGGCAAACCTTTCCAGGACCCCACCCTATCCCTCTTCCTCCTTTGAAATTCCACACTACTTCCCTCCCCTCCAGCGTTGGGGAGAGGCGGCAGATCTATCCCCTCCTCCCGGATTGGTGAGCTCGTCTGACCTTCAAGATCCACGCCCATTTACCCTCACCATCTATTGGCCTTATCACCTATTGGCTTATCAGTCACTTCTAAGACCCACCTCCTCGTCGCTTCCGTGGCTCTTGCGCTCCGCTGATTCGCCACTGCGCAAGTCCCCCGATATTCCCTCCCTTTATTGGTTGCTCTGCTTCTCTCCCCCCGCCTTTCCGCCGAGTTGCCCTTCTACCTCCCTCCCATTGGCTCTTCATTCTGTCCATCTTGAAGCACCATTCTTCTTTTCTCCATTCATTAGCTAGTTTTTCAGCTCTTAGCAGGTAGTTCTGCCTCTTGATTGGCTCCTTCAAACTTCAGTCCTTACTTGCCCCAGTAAACGCCTTACGTACTCTCTACCCCTGACTCTTATTGGTTCACTGACCCGCTCGTCTCCTTCCTTGTACCCTCCTTGGCCGCACCGCTCGCCGGTCACTCACCAGACTACATCTGATTGGAGAAGGAGGTGGGTGCACCCTGCGGGCCGTAGCCTTGCTGCCCATAGTCGCCCTGAGGCCCGTAGCCACTGCCACCGCTGCCGGCTGGTTGACCATAGTCAGGCTGGTAGCCGCCCTGAGGCCCGTAGGAATCCTGGGGCCCGTACCCGCCGGGGCCCTGCCCGTAGCCTGCATCGCCGTAGGCGTCCCCGGGTGCCGGTTGTTTCTCGGGGGCGCCGGGAGGCGCGCGCAGGAACGGGGCGGCCCAGCCTGTCTCCTTAAACACGAACCACAGGTTGCCGACCCAGAGCACCAGGTTCAGGAAGCCGAACACCTGCAGGGAGACAAGGCTCGGCTGTGGTACCCCGCCCATTGCCTTGGCGGCCCTGCGTGCAGGAATGAGCATGCGGGGAATGAATCCGTAGGCTCCGCAAGGTGGGGGTTTCTGAAACCCAGACTCTCTGAGTCCCAGTGCGAGAACGTCGATGTGCAGAAAAATCACCTCTGGCGGGGTGGGCGTGTTAGAAGAATTTGGAGCCCTGGGGATGCTGCGATCTATCAGTATTACATATACAATTATTTACATATTTGCACATATACACATTATATACACATTTATGCATGTTTAAAATGTAAATTTGTAATATATTCATAGTAAAATGTAAGGATACAAACTTATTAAATATAGCTATACCACTAACATGCATCTAAATAAATGTAGATAAAATATATGTATAAGTGCACATGTATAAGATATATGAAACTTGCATAATTTTTTTTTTGAGATGGAGTTTCGCTCTTGTTGCCCAGGCGGGAGTGCAATGGCACGATCTCGGCTCACCACAACCTTCGCCTCCCGGGTTCAAGCAATTCTCCTGCCTCAGCCTCCCGAGTAGCTGGGATTACAGGCATGCACCACCACACCAGCTAATTTTGTATTTTTAGTAGAGATGGGGTTTCTCCATGTTGGTCAGGCTGGTCTTGAACTCCCGACCTCAGGTGATCTGCCCGCCTCGGCCTCCCATAGTGCTGGGATTACTGGCGTGAGCTACCGCACCCGGCCACATAAAGTAATTTTAAGACATAAAACACTTTCTGTACCTTTCCTTATATGCCAAGCCCTCTTCTAAGAGCTTTACATGTTATAAGCTCACTTAAAATTCAGTTTTGGGCAGGAAATACTATCTCCATTTTACAGTTGAGGAAACTGAGGCCCTAGAGGCTAAGTTACCTGAAGTCTCACATCCAGCAAGTGACAGGAAAGAAAAGTTGTAATCTTAGCATCTGTAACCCTTGTATACGACTTACCTTGTGCCAGGCCCTTTTCTGAGCACTCCGTATTCTTAGTTCAATAAATACTCAACTTTGGAGCAGGACCTATTATTAGTCTTCGATTATGCATGCTCAACTGAACCTTGAGAGGCTGTGACTAGTTTCAGGTCAGGGAGCTTGCAAGAGGTAGAGCTGGGATTTGAGCGCAGACAGTCTGACTCCAGCCAGTAGGGGGCATCCAAGTGGGGAAACATTTCAAGTTTTTCCTTCATTTTGCACATGAGGAAACTGAGGTCCCAAGAGGGTGCTGAGTTGCTTATTTTACATGTCTAGGCTGGGTCTGGGATCCAGGTCTCCCAAACCTGTCATGTTCCCCCTTTGGGGACAGTCTGTGGTGTCACAGTGGTTACAATTGCTAGCTCATCCTTCAACGTTGTTGTTGGCACGCGTTCTTCAGGGACACCCCTTGGATCTCCCCTGACTCTCCTCTTATTCTCCCACTCCACCACTCCCCATGCCGGACTGTACTGTTTTCCACTCTCCCTCCTCCAGCCAGCACCCAGGGCTTACCACCGAGGTGTTGAGTCCCGAGGTCACAGGGTCTCTCAGCTCCTTGCATGTGTTCCCTGTCTGGCGGCAGACAGGCATCTCCTTGATAATGTTCTCTGGGTCTGTGGCCATCTTCACATCTGACAGCCCCTTGGCCCATGCCGATGAGCTAACTAGCCACATGAAGGCGAACACAGCCGTGGCCAGAAAGTCCTAAGGCAGGCAGGGGTGAGGAAGACAGCACTGTGAGTGGACTGCTTCACGCTAGGCCCTGGGGCCTCCTCGGATCACAGGTCCCCCAGAAGAGGCCTGTCTCTCCCCTGCCTTTTCAGCTCTCAAGCCCACAACACTTTCACCTGAAGGTGGCCCTCCCAGCTTGAGCTTGTGTGTGTACATGACACAGAGGATGTGGGAGTGTGATTGTGATATGTGGCTGTGGGTGTTGGGGGGAGGGGAACTCTGGGATGATTTCCGAATCTGTGGAAAGTAATGTGTCTTTCTACTTTTGTCTGCATGTGGGAATTTTTGTCATTTTGTGTCTAGGCTGAGGGTATGTGAGTACAGTGGTGTAGGAATCAGTGTGTCTGTGTGGCATGATGACAGGCATGACTGTCACAGCGAACCTCTGTGGGCCTCTTCCTTTGATCTAGGCTGTGTAGTTGTGTGAGAGTGGGAAGGTTCTCAGGTGTGGGCCTGTCTGGGATTCTGCATAGGCTGTATGTCTCCGTGACTCTATGACTCTGTGTCCCGGATGCCTGGTGTGGATTAATAGCAGCAGCAACTATATGTGTGGCTGTTATGGTGGCTGTTTGCATGTGGGCCTGTCTGGGATTTGGTGTGGTCTGTGAGCATGGCTGTGTCCCTGGGGTTCCGTGTCCCCATGGTCCCTACATGCAAGTGGCTGTGGGGACTCACCAGCATGGGCCCTTTGTTATTCTCTCGGTACTTGTTCTGCAGGAAGATGTAGGTGGCCAGAGCCCCCATGGAGTAGAGGAAGGCAAACACGGCCACGGTGACAAAGAATTCGGCTGACGAGGAGTAGTCCCCAACTAAGAAGACCTTGGTGGTGCCCCCTCGGCAGGTGGGTGCATCAAAGTACACTTGGTGCAGCCTGCAAACAGAGGTGGGCAGGTGTGGCCCAGCCCCTCAGAACACCCTCAACCCTCCAGCCCAATCATGGGTCCCCCCATTTCTGACAAGGCCCCAGGAAGAGGAGGAAATAACCATTCATCGAGCACCTACTATGTACCAGTCACATTTCACTGATTGCTCAAAACATCCTGGTGAGATAGGTGTTATTCATCCCTCACTCCAACCCAAGCACTCTGGCCTCTTGATTATTTCTAGAACTTGCCAGGCATCCTCCCTCCCTAGGATCTTTGTTTGTACTGGCTGTTCCCTTTGCCAGGAATGCTTTTCCCCTAGATAGCTTCGGGTCTTACTCCCTCATCTCCTTTTTTTTTTTTTTTTTTTTTTTGAGATGGAGTCTTGCTCTGTCACCAGGCTGGAGTGCGGTGGCACAATCCCGGCTCACTGCAACCTCTGCCTCCCGGGTTCAAGCGATTCTCCTGCCTCAGCCTCCTGAGTAGCTGGGATTACAGGCATGCGCCGCTACGCCCAGCTAATTTTTGTACTTTTAATAGAGACGGGGTTTCACCGTGTTGGCCAGGATAGTCTTGATCTCTTGACCTTGTGATCTGCCCGCCTTGGCCTCCCAGAGTGCTGGGATTACAGGCGTGAGCCACTGCGCCCGGCCTCCCTCATCTCCTTGAAGCTTTGCTCAACTGTCACCTTCTCATTGAGACCTTCCCTGATCTCCCTACTTAAAATTAAATTGAAACATTCTCTCAACCAGCACTTCTTAGCCTGGCTTCCTTGCTCCACTTTTCTCGATAGTAGTGGTACCCATCTGACATACCAGGTATTTTTTTTTTTTTTAATCTTGGTTTTTGCTGTAACTACAAGAGGGCAGGGCTTTTTCCTGTGTTTTCACCTCCGTTTATCTCCAGGCCCTGGAACAGTGCTGGCACCTAGCAGACACTCAAGAAATGTTTATCAAATGAAATGTACAGAGGCGGAAACAGAGGCTCAGGGAAGTGCATTAACTTGCCTAAAGTCACACAGCTGGCAAGGGAATGTCAGAGTTGAGATCTGAACCTTGTTTTCTCCCTATCTCATGTTGACTTTTCTCCCCCACCCCAGTTCAGGTCCCCGAGAGAAAAAAATGTATGCATAGCAGAGGAGAGGCCAGCGACTAGATAACAGGAAAAGACAGACAGAAAGAAAGGAGGGTAAAGGGATCTTGGAACAGGGTGTGTGTATGTGAGGGAAGAGGGGAGGTGTCCTGGGACTAAGGCCTTTCCTGTGGTGTGATGGAGGAGAGGTGGGGGTTGTAGAGAGAAAATGTCTGTGGGAGAAGTTCTGGAGCACAGTCTCAGATTGGAGGCCAGGATCCTGAGACTGAGCAAATGGTGCCAATGCCTTTGTGTAGCAAAGGCCCTGAGGGAAGAGGCTTGCACTTATTAGTCACCTACTAAGCAGTTTACATAAATGTCTCATTAATGACAGCCTCCAGCAATTCTCTAAAGAAGGCATTATTAGACCCTTTTTACAGATGAATAAACAGAGGCTTAGCAAGGTTATTACTTGCCCAAGGTTGTACAGCTCCTAAATGATGGAGCTAGGAGTTGCATCTGGGTTTGAGTTTCTGTTTCTAGTGGGCTGGGTCAGGAGAGGGGGTCCCTAAGAGGGAATGAGAGGTCCTTGGGTATTAGGGCAGTTTGGGAGGGATTTTGCTCAGGGGGACCCAGGGCCAAGACTGTTTTTCTAGGGGACTTGTGGGCTAGAGCCTTAGGACCCAAAGTTCTAGACATGGGAGGCGTGGGGAGGGGGCACAGGGGATGGTTGTGGTCTTGTGGATCCCCAAAGGACTGGCTCTAAGCAGTGTCCCTTGCTGCCAGCTCCCCCTCCTTCCCCAGACTCTTTTCTCCCTTGCCTTTGTGGACCCATGGATACCTGGCTGCCCCTCTGCCTCTCAGGCCACACTTTCCCGGCATCTCCTCTCTTTTCCATCATTGCTCAGGGCCTGTGCTAGGTTTTCTTCTACTTTCACTCTTCCATCTCCCCACTGGGTGATCACTTGAGCCTACATTTACCCTCAGTACTCGAAGACCCCCAGTTTCCAACTCAACCCCTGTCCTCTTTCCTGAGTCCCTTAAATTTATTTTACTTATTGAACAGACACTGATGGAGCACTTATTGTGTGCCAGGCACTGTGCTAAGCACCTGATGAATATTAACTCATTGAATGCTAACCACGACCCTGTGAGGTAGATATTATTAGTATTCCTTTTTACAGATGAGGAAATTGAGACCCAGAGTGGTTATGTGATTTGGCCAAATAGTGGGGGAGTCTCAGAAACCTGTGCGGGGATTGTGTCTGTGGGTCTCTGTCATCCCACCCTGCAGGAGGTAAACATCATTGTGAGGGTAGTGCCCATGCCAGCCGTGCTCATTCTTGTGCACCTAGCACCCAGTGTATTGCCCGGCACACAGTGTGAGCTCAATAAATGTCAGAATTGTTTAATTGGGTTTAATTTTTCCCTATATCTAAGCAGCACCCCTCATTATTCTATTCTCTACCATAAAACCCTACATGAGGATCTCCTCGAGTTTCTCTCAGTCTGCTATTATCCTCTTTGTTAATTTATTTGTTATAATGTAGGCTCCATGAAGGTAGGGAGTTGGGTCTGGTTTTTTTTTTTTTGGAGATGGAGTTTCGCTCTTGTTGCCCAGGCTGGAGTGCAATGGCGCGATTTCGGCTCCCAGGTTCAAGTGATTCTCCTGCCTCAGCCTCCTGAGTAGCCGGGATTACAGGCATGCATGACCACGCCTGGCTAATTTTGTATTTTTAGTAGAGACGGGGTTTCTCCATGTTGGTCAGGCTGGTCTCGAACTCCTGACCTCAGGTGATCCGCCCACCTCGGCCTCTCAAAGTGCTGGGATTACAGGCGTGAGCCACTGTGCCTGGCGGGAGTTGGGTCTGTTTTAGTTACTATCATGCTTCCAGCACTTTGAGTAGTACCAGATATAAAATAAGTTCTCAAAAATGTGTATAGAATGAATGAATGGGGATTAAATAATAATATTGGCTAACATTAATTGGGTACCTACTGGGTTAAGGTATGTATATACACCTGTCTTACTTTTGTATCTTGTTTATTGCCTGTCCCTTACCCCTTCGCTGGAACAGAGCCAGAGGGCCACAGCCTATGTCTGCCTTGCTCACCACATAGTCCTAGAGTCCAGAGCAGTGCCAGGTACAAGGCAGGTGCTCAGTGATCCCAGTGGATGTAGCCTCGAGGTGGGAGCTGGGCAGGAGCTACTTGCGGGGGGAGGTATTGGCCGGTTCCACCCTGCCCCTTCCTCTCCCAGGTCTGTTGGTATCCCAGGGTGGGAGCACACCTGAAGGGGTACTCGAACTCGACCTCGATGCTGAGGTCACTCTCGGTCTTGTTGGCACAATCCACGCTCAGCTGGAGCTCCCCACTGTAGCTGCCGCATGTGGCAAAGGCGAAGATGGCGAAGACCTTGGGCAGCAGGGATGGGGATGGCCACAGTGAACCTGTGTGCATGTGGGAGGGAGGTGCCCTCCTCTGGACAGATCGGGGGCCCAGCACAGGCAGCAGCAGATGGAGCAGTCCCCACCCCCACCCCCTAATCAGGGCTCATCGGGACCAAGGACAAGCTGATTACAAGGGTATGGCTGTCTCTTCCTGTTTCTCTCTCTGTGTCTCTCTCTGTCTCTGCCTTTCCATGCTGACCTCCCTCTTCTCTGTTTGTCTCTGTTGTTCTCTGTGTATCTCACTGTGTCTCTGTTTCTCTCGGTATCTCTGTTTCTCTATGTGTCTTTGTCTTTCTCAGATGTCTCTTTGTCTCTCTGTGTCTCTGATCCTCTCTGCCTCTGCCTATCTGATCTGTCGATGTCTCTTTTTGTCTCTTTTTTCTCTGTCTGTGTAAGTGTATGCCTGTATGTCTGTGTCTTTCTGTTTCTTGGTCTGTTTGTCTCTGTCTCTCTGTCCTGTCTCTCACTCGGTCTCCGGATGGTTCTCTCTCTGTCTCCCTCTTGCCTCTGTGTGTTGGTTTCTCTTTTTTCTGAGTGTCTCTTTCTCTCTGTGTCTCTCTCTCCCTCACCCTGTTTTCCTGCCTCTCTCCCTGCGTCTGTTTCTCTTTGCATCTGTTTTCTGTGTCTCCTTTTTCTTTGTTTCTGTTTGTCTCTTCTCTCTTATGTCTGTATCTCTTCTCATCTCCATATTTCTTTTTTTTTTCTCAGTATTTCCATCTCTGTCTTTATCATTCCCTGTCCCTCATTCTCTCTGTCACCTTCACTGTCTCTGGGTTTCTCTGACTTTGCATCTCTCACCCAGCATCTGCTACAGGCTCCACCTCCCCCACCCCTCCCTCACTTCAAGAGAGGAGGTAGGACGTCACAGTCTCCCACTTCACAACGGGGGTACCCTCAGCCCTATGTGACGTCACAGCTCATCTGTTTTCTGGCTTCAGACCCCTGAAACCTCACCCTGGAGCCCAATTCCCCCATCCCCTACAACCCCCGCACTCATCCCTGGCTACTCGCCCCTACTCCACCCCTGCTCTTCTGGACCCCATGACCTCCCTCTCTCCCTGCACTCTGCCCCAACAGCCCGGACCACACTCACCCATTGCAGCACCTTCACAAAGCCGAGGGGCTCCTTGACCACCCGGAACTGACCCCCAGCCACCAGCTGAGGAGAGAAACAGTGGGGAAGGGGTGGGGTTGTTGGAGGTACAGGGAGGTGAGCGGCAAGGCTGCCCATCAATGACCCCAGGGGATGGAGCATGTGACCTCGGGGAGAGGGTGAGAAGGAGAAAGTGACACCTTGGGGATGGTGTGAGCCCCAGGGTCCAAGGACTGGTGGGAAGGTCTGAAGAGATGGTGAGTCAGATGGCAGAGGAAGTCGGGGGTGAGGGAGATGGGGATGAGGTCAGGACTAGTTAAGGAGGGGGAGCAGGTTTGAAACGTAAAGGCGAGTCGGATGGGGAAGGGGTTCGGGTAGAGAATGGGGATGGAGTGGGGTGCATTCGGGTGGGGGGGTTGTGATGGTGAAGGTGAGTCATAACGGGGCAGGAGTCGGTTTGGCTCAGGTGGGGGAAGGGTCTGCAGGGGTAAAGGTGTGTTAGACGGCGGTGGCGGTAGATATTTGAGGTGATGGGGATGGGGAAGGGTTGGGACTGATTGGGGGTGAGTTTCTGAGGTGGCAAAGACGAGAGACATGGCGGAGAGGGTCTGGACTGATTAAGGTGGGGGAGGGCTGGGACACGGCTTCAGTCGCTATGTGTTGGGGGTGAGGAGGCTGGGGGTTTTGGAAGGAGTAAAACCGGATTGTCCCCTAGGTGTGCTCTGGGGGAAGGGGTGGTCGCCTATGGGGGTACAGTCTCTGTTTGGGAGGGGCGGGTGCCAGCCCTCTCCCCCATCCCCGCCCCCACACCTTCTGTCGCTCTATTTCCTAGCTTATCCGCAGCACCCCCCATCTTCCTTCCACTCTCCCCTCCCCTTGTCCCTTGCCCTCACTCCAGCCCCCAGGCCCCTATTCCTCCCCTCGCGGTCGCCAGTAATAAACGGGGCTCCGGGGGCCCCCGCTGCGGCAGTGAGGACGGCCCTCGCTGCGGCAAAGAGCGCACTCCTTTTCTCCACCTCCCCCTTCCTCCCCTTCACCTGCCGCAGACCCCCATCCCCAGCGCCGGGGACCGGGTCTCCGCTGCCAGACCCTGGCCACCACCTCCCAGAGTCGGCTGGCCTGAGCGACCCGGCCTAGGCAGCCGGGCGGCGGCGGGCTCTGTCCACGGTGCTGGAGCGCGTACCTGATTCACCACGTCCATGTCCGCCAGCAGCAGCATCAGCAATGCAGGGGGCGGGAGGCTCGGCTAGCAAGGGCGGCGCGGGGCGCGGCGGGGGCGGCGCGCGCTCGTTGGAACAGCCCAGGCGGCTGCAGCCCCGCCCCTCGCGCCCCCTCCTTGCCCGCCACGCGCCTGCGCACAGCGGGTTGTACCACAGTCTCACCGGCAGCCATTCCGGCCCGGAGGCTGGAGCCGTGAGAGCGTGCGGGAATATGCGTTGGGAAAACACAAGTCGAGGGCCGGGGAGAGGAGACCTCCCTGCTCGGTCCTACAGTGTGACAACTTTGCCAGGCTCTTTTCTGAGTTTGTTAAACATGTTCACTCATTTAATGCTTACAGAAGTCCTACGTTGTAGGGACTATTAGGCCGTTTTTACAGACGAGGAAAATAATTCCCCAGAGAGCTTAAGTGACTCTCACAAGGTCAGCCAGCTACTAGCTGGCAGTGCCCAGAGTCCCTGCAGTTTAAACACGGTTCAAGGCCTTCCAGGTTCCTTTTTCATAGTCTGCATTTTAAGCACACCCTGAAACTCCTGCCCCCATCTAGCCATCTCCCTTATTTCTTTCTTCCTCTTTGTCAAATTAATGCCTACTCGAACTCTACCACTTTACCTATTTATTCCTTAGCTCTCTCTTAATTGGAATAACCCTCCTTCCTGCGACTAAAACTAGGCCCATCAAGGTCAACAGTGATGGCTATGATGCAAAATCCAAAATACAGTTGGGGCTTAAGATGCTCAACTTCGGCCAGGCGCAGTGGCTCATGCCTGTAATCCCAGCACTTTGGGAGGCCGAAGTGGACAGTGGATCACTTGAAGTCAGGAGTTTGAGACTAGCCTGGCCAACATAGTGAAACCCCATCTCTATTAAAAATACAAAAATTAGCTGGCTGTGGTGGCAGGCGCCTGTAATCCCAGCCACTTGGGAGGCTGAGGCAGGAGAATTGCTTGAACCCAGGAGGCGGAGGTTGCACTGAGGCGAGATTGCACCACTGCACTCCAGCCTGGGCAACAGAGCGAGACTCCATCTCAAAAACAAACAAGCAAACAAAAATACTGAGATACTGTTTTTCATCTTTCAGGGTGGTGAGTATCAAAAAGTTTGATAACGTTCCGTATTGGTAGGTTGGCCAGAAACAAGCGTTCTCATAAATCGCCTGTGGAAGTTTCATTGGTATAACGTGTAGAAGGCAATCGGGCAAAATCTAAAAAAAAAAAATAACAAATTCATTTACTGTTTGGTTCACCTTCATACTTCTAGGAATTCATCTTACAGATAGACTCATACATGTGCTAAAAGATATATGTATAAGATAATACATGACTGGGCTGTTTATTTTTTATTTTTTTTTGAGACGGAGTCTCACTCTGTTGCCCAGGCTGGAGTGCAGTGGCATGATCTCCGCTTACTGCAACCTCCGCCTCCCGGGTTCAAGCAATTCTCCCTGCCTCACCCTCCCTGAGTAGCTGAGATTACAGGCATTCACCACCACGCCCATCTAATTTTTTTTTTTTTTTTTGTAGTTTTAGTAGAGATGGGGTTTCGCCATATTGGCTAGGGTGGTCATGAACTCCTGACCTCATGTGATCTGCCTGCCTCGGCCTCCCAAAGTGCTGGGATTACAGGTGTGAGCCACTGGGCCAGGCCAGGGCTGTTTATAATAGGATAAAGAATGGACACTCCCAAAGTGCTCATTGTTGGTAGCCTGTTTAAATAAACTCTGATACTATGCCGCTGTCATTATAATAACATGGAACTATGGAATGATTGCCAAGATATTTAGTTAAGTAAAAAATGCAAGATGTCAAACTGTGTGGTAATTGTGTACAAAGAGAAGAGAAGGGTTATATCAGACAGAGAATAGCTAACATTTAAATTGTGGCTGTTTTCTGTCAAGTACTCTTTAGAGAACTTTGCCTGTATTACTCACTTAAATTCTTACTGTAACCCTATGTGACAGGTACGACAACTATCTTTGTTTTACAGCTGAATAAACTAAGAGGCGGAGAGGAATTTTCCTAAGTTCACACAGCTGGTAAATTGGTAGAACCAGGATATGAACCCAGGAAGTCTGGCTCCAGCACCTGTTACTCTTAGCCACTGTGCTAACTTATCAGTACACCATCTTTTTTTTTTCAGCACACCATCTTGTATGTCTGTGAAAGATACCTGATAATACTATTTGCTTCCAGAGGGTAGGGAAACTTTTCACTTTATACCCCTTTGTACCTTTTGAGACTCCATCTCAAATAAAATAAAAAAATAAACAGCCTGGTAGTGTATCATCTTATACATACACCTTTTAGCACATATATGAGTCTACCTGTAAGAAATTCCTAGAAGTATGAAGCTGAACAAAACAGTAAATGAATTTATTTTTCTAGATTTTGCCCAGTTGCCTTCTACACAGGTTATACCAATGAAACTTCCACAAGCGATTTATGAGAACGCTTGTTTCTGGCCAACCTGCCAGTATGGAACATTATCAAACTTTTTGATACTCACCACCCTGAAAGATGAAAAACAGCATCTCAGTAGTTTTGTTTTGTTTTGTTTTTGAGACAGAGTCTCACTCTGTTGCCCAGGCTGGAGTGCAGTGGTGCAATCTCAGTTCACTGCAACCTCCGCCTCCTGGGTTCAAACGATTCTCCTACCTCTGCCTCCTGAGTAGCTGGGATTACAAGCACAAACCACCACGTCCGGCTATTTTTTTTTTTTTTTTTTTTTTTTTTAGTAGAGATGGGGTTTTGCCATGTTGGCCAGGCTGGTTGTGAACTCCTGACCTTAAGTGATCCACTGTCCACTTGGCCTCCCAAAGTGCTGGGATTACAGGTGTGAGCCACTGCATCTGGCCTACCTTTTGAATTTTGAACCATCTGAATGAATATCTTTTTTTTGAGACAGGGTTTCCCTGTGTTGCCCAGGCTGGAGTCCAGTGGCATGAATATGGCTCACTGCAGCCTCGACCTCCTGGGCTCAAGCGATCCTCCTGCCTCAGCCTCCTATGTAGCTGGGACCACAGGCGTGAGACACCACGCCCAGCTAATTTTTAAATATTTTTGTAGAGACGAGGTCTCACTTTGTTGCCCAGGCTGGTCTTGAACTCCTGGGCTCAAGTGATCCTCCCGCCTCAGCCTCCCAAAGTGCTGAGATGACAGGCATGAGTCACCATGCCCAGCTCAATACCTGTTTTTTTAAACATGAAAATTCACACATATATGTAATGGATACTTCCCTGTTGTTGCCTTATTGGGGAAGCAGTACACAGGAGGGGTTAAAAGCATGGATCTTGGCATCAAACTGCTTGAATTTGAATGCCACCTCTGATACTTCTTGTTTGACCCTGGACAGGTAAGATGGTTTAAAATGATACCTATAAGGTTGTTGCACTGATTCAACGAGATGATCACTGTAATGCAGTTAGCACAGGGCCCAATAAATGGTTCATTTTACCTCCTACACATCTCTGGAATCCACTCACTTCTCACCATCTCCTCTGCCACCTCCTCTGGCTAAGGCGACCATCATTCCTGCCAATTTTAGCATCTCCAGTCTCTTCCCCCTCCCTTCTGTTTTCAGCACAGCCGTCAGAACATCTATTTAAAATGCAATGTTAACTATGTCACTACCCTACTCAAATCCCTCCCATGGCTCCCCACTGCTTATAGGAAAAATCCCAGAGTTTGGGACCTGGCATTCAAGGTTCCACCTGATCTGGCCTCAGTGGCTTCTCCCACCTCATCCCTCAACAGTCTCCCTTCACTCTCTGTGCCCTGCCCATGACTTGCTGTTCTCACCTAACTCCAGCCCAACCACTTTAAGCCTTTGTTTCAAGGCCTAATGTAACTCAATCTTCTCAGTCCTAGTCTCCAATTCTGGCTTCCCTCAAATTTCAGTCCTGGCTTGATTGGCGCAGATTATACAAATGAGACACCCCTGTTCTGGGAGCTGGGAAGAGTTCCTCCCCGACTGGTGGTCTCATCCTGCACCACTCCCAATGCTACCTTCAATTCCTCTGGAGTGGGGCTGACTCCCACTTTGGATGAGACCTGTCCCGTGTTTCAACCAGTTCAGTTTGCCCCGAGAGAAACCCAGAGCCGGTGCCTGGCACATAGTAAATGCCTGATAAGCCTTCAGTGAGCGAATGTAACCCCAAAGGCTGGGTGAAGAGTAAAGCTGGGGCAAGAAGCAGAGAGGACCTCTGGGATCTGTGTGGGATAAGAGTAGGTTACTGTTAGGTGGTCTCAGGAAAGCCAGGTGGGCCCTGAGTGGGTTCCCCAGGGCTGGGAGCCCTGACCTTTGCTGTCACCTATGTTGTCTACTGATGGATTTAGGTTTTCTTTTCTTTCTCAGGCAGAAAGTGGGAGATGGGAGACAGAGCGATCTCAATTTAGCCACCCTAAAATTCCTGTTGCCGTCAGAGGACCCCTCTGCCTAAGATGCATCACATACCAGGCCGATTCCAACCTCCAGGCCTCTCCCCTGGCAGGATTCTTCTCTGGGTTTCCTTGTCCTTTCCTTCTCATCCGTCTACCCTTCCTAGTTTGACCTGGCTGAGCCCTGGTGAAATCTCTGCCTCTCTTCCTCTCTGGGTCCAAGCACCCCTCACACCCGCTCTCTCCCCTTTCCTCCATCTCTGTCCAGTGCCCTCCCCCTCCCCCCTCCTCCACTCTGCCTCCAGCTTTTTTTGGCTGCTGTCTCTTCCTCCTCCTCCTCCTCCTCCCTCCTTCCCTGACGCTGAATAATCAGGCCTGGCTGTCCTGGTTTCTGGAAATACCCGTGTGTGGGCAGTGGCTCAGGGCTAGAACAGGGGATGGATGGATGGGGGCCCCTGGGCAGCCCCAGACCCCCAGTGCAAAGACAACAAAATCCAGGGATGTGGTCCATGCCTGCCTCCTGCTGGGGAGGGGAGGGCAGGAGGTTTATTGAGCAGTTGGGGAGGGGTGGGAATTCAGAGGGCGTGGACGCAGGCCATCTCGTCTCCCAAGTCCTCCTCATCGAAGCGGGAGAGGATGGACTCCTCGTCGCTATAGAGAGAGCTGGTTCCCTGTGCCAGCAGGTCACTGGCAGCATTGTCCATCTCATCCAGCGTCAGGCGACACGCATCTGCAATCTCCTGCTTGGCCAGGGCCACGAAACGTGGGTCTCGAGCAAAGAGGCCCAGACCCTCTGAGATAAGCACCTGGGGGCACAGGTGGGATCAGTGTTGACGGACGGCACAGTGTGCACAGAAGGTTCAGTGTGGATAAATGACGTGCCCATGAGGGCATGTAGGGAAGTCAGTGGGGGACAGGGGTGAGCAGAGGTCGTAGGGCAAAGGGATATCTACATGCACAACACAGGACCTGGGGACTCCTTTCCGTCCTCCTCCAGTACCCACCTCCTCCCCTTCTCCCCCATCCGTCTTGTCTATATGCCCTCTGGACTCACAGCCTCCACCAAGCTGTCGGCACTGCCCCTCTTCCCATGGCTGGGGTCCGAGTGGGTTCCAGGCACGTGCAGACAGGTGAAGGTGCGCAGTGGGCCACTGGATCTGCCGAGGTACCCCTCCCCCGCTGCGCCCTCTTCCACCAACAACAGCGGGGCATACAGGAGCCGACCCCGCTGAGGTGGTGTTGCCCAGGAACCCTGAGCCAGAATAAACATCAGAGGGGCAGGGATGGATGAGTAGGGTATGAGGGTCTAGGACTCACCGCTGTGCCTACTTCTTTCCCTCAGTATACAACTGGAGTGAAATTGAATGGGTATAAGTCAGGCTTGAGTTTATTTATGTAAGAGTGCAGGAGGCCTGGGTTTAAATGTCAGCTCTGCCACTTACTAGCTGCATGATCTGGGGTAAACCTCTCAGGACCTCAGTTTCCTCACAAGTACAGTGAGCATTGTGTGCATTCATTCATATGTGTCCTGTTCTTCAGAAGGCTCTGAGGCCAGGCGCGGTGGCTTATGCCTGTAATCCCAGCACTTTGGGAGGCTGAGACAGGCGGATCACCTGAGGTCAGGGGTTTGAGACCAGCCCGGCCAACATGGTGAAACCCCATCTCTACTAAAAATGCAAAAATTAGCCAGGCATGGTGGTGAGCACCTGTAATCCCAGCTACTTGGGAGGCTGAGGCAGGAGAATTGCTTGGACCCGGGAGGCAGGGGTTACAGTGAGCCAAGATCTCAACACTGTACTCCAGCCTGGGCAGCAGAGCAAAACTCTGTCTCAAAAAAAAAAAAAAAAAAAAAAAAAAAGGGCCTGATATGTGCTGTGTTTGAGAAATTCAGCCTAGGCTGCCCCCATCTCTCCAGACCCCAGACCCCAGCACCACCTCCACAGCCTCACCTGAGCCCTATTGGGCCCTGAATTTCGCCCACGATGATAGGTGCCTGGGATGGGTAAATCCTCACAACTGCCCTGGCGCTGCAGACACTGGATGGTGAAGGAGGGCTTCCGACCTGGGGGTGGGTGGGGCACCAGGGGCAAATAGCAATGTCAGTGCTTCCCCAGATCTCTGTCCTGCAGGCCCGTGGGGGCCCCTTGGATCCATCCCTGCTCTCACCTGCAGGTGTGGGGGGCAGCAGACGGCGGCGTGGTACCAGGTGCCCATCCATGTATCTCTGAGCTCTGTGAGGTGGCAAAAGGACTGAGCACGGGGGAGTCCCTGCCTGCTCATCTAGGTAGGAAAGCCTGTGTGGGTGGGAGGGCCAGGGGTGAACTTGGGTCTGGGCCTGGACCTGGGCCTGGGAGATGGGGCACAAACAGTCCTCCCCGACCCAGTTCCCACCCCTCCTCCACCCCAGCTCATGGGTTCATCCCATGTGGCATGGCCAGTGTACCGATCAGGGACTTCCTCATCCTCATCTTGCTTGTTTTGCCCTTTGGTTCCCTTGGGCTGAGAATTTCCTTCTTCTGGGATGGTGAAAATGAGAGCCCCAGAGCCTCTCCTGGGGAAAGGGAGGCACGTTAGGCAGACCAGATCCCTCAATATGTGGCCCTGGACCCCTGGTTCCTCTCATCCCATGCCCCAACCCTTACAGAAACACTGGGCTTTTGGATTTTTTTGTTGAGGACAAGTCACATAAAATTAACCATTAACCATTTTAAAGTGACCATGGGCTTTTGTTTAATAGATGTTCATCTAATTAGGACTGAAAGTTTCAAAAAAATCAAAGTTGACCTGTAGAGAGACACCTTGAACACAAAACTGGGCATGTATTAGGAGTGGGGGGAGCCTGTAAAAGCTAGGCACTTTATTTTTTTATTTCTATTTTTTATTTTCTGAGACGAGGTCTTACTCTGTCACTTAGGCTGGAGTGCAGCGGCATGATCTCAGCTCACTGCAGCCTCAACCTCCCAGGCTCAATTTATCCTCCCACCTCAGCCTCCCAAGTAGCTGGGACTACAGGCATGTGCCACCATGCTCGGCTATTTTTTTATTTTTTGTATGGACGGGGTCTCATTATGTTGTGCAGGCTGGTCTTGTACTCCTGGGCTCAAGCGATCCTCCCACCTTGGCCTCCCAAAGTGCTGGGATTACGAGTGTGAGCCACCGTGCCTAGGCAAGCTAGACACTCTGAAATTTTTTTTTAAAATTTTTCTTTAATCTGCTTATGTATTGTCTAGCAGCTAAGTGTTTGACATGCATTACCTCATTTCATCCTTTCTTTATCCCTGTGAAGTAAGTGCTTTGTCATCCCCCTTAAACAGGTGAGGAAACTGAGGCTCATAGAAACGAAGTGACTAGGCAGGGCACGGTGGCTCAAGCTTGTAATCCCAGCACTTTGGGAGGCTGAGGTGGGCAGATCACCTGAGGTCAGGAGTTCGAAACCAGCCTGGCCAACATGGCAAAACCTCGTCTCTACTGAAAAAAAAAAAAAAAATTAGCCTGGCATTATGGCGCACGCCTGTAATCCCAGCTACTCGGGAGGCTCAGGCAGGAGAATCGCTTGAACCCGGGAGGCAGAGGTTGCAGTGAGCCGAAATTGTGCCACTGCACTCCAGCCTGGGAGACAGAGCGGGACTCTGTCTCAAAAAAAAAAAAAAAAAAAAAGTGATTAGCTCAAGGTCACTTAGCAAATGGCAGAGGCAGAATGTGAACTGAAACTCTTGGTTTCACACAATGTGCTTTTTGCATTAAACCTTTGTATTGCCTTTCTCATATGAATCTCTTATCACCCTCTATTCTTACCTGAGCCCTTGAAACACCTCCATTCTTCCCAAATTTCTGCTTGAAGGCCTCTAGGCCCTCCCTCCCACCCCCCTCAACTTCCTGCCTCCTGAATTGCCTCTATCCAGTGTCTAGTCCTTGCCTTCCCTCACAATCTACTTCCAGACACTTGATAATACCTGTGGGTGTTGGATCCAGCCTGGGGCACACTGGGCTGACTGGAGGTGGGAGTCCCCCTGTCATCATCACTGGGCCCAAAGGAGAGTGAATCTGGAAGTCTGTCCCCGACAGGCAGAGACACAGAAATCCCGGAGCCCCGGCGAGCTGAGGGCTGGGAGACCATCGTGGCCTGTGGAGAGTCACAGGACTGAGTGTTGCATGCACTTTGTGGCTAAGTCATTTGGTCATATAACATGTCTCCCCCACAGGTCCATGAATGTGGGCCTTGCCCTCCAACAGCAATGGTAAATGTCAAATAAATAAATACGTAAATAAATAAATAAATATTTGCGATAGGGTCTTGTCCTGTCACCAGGCGGGAGTGCAGTGGCATGATCACAGCTCACTGTGGCCTCATCCTCCCAGGTTCAAGCAATCCTCCTGCCTCAGCCTCCCAAGTAGCTGGGACTACAGGCTTGCACCACCACTCCTAGCTAATTTTTAAATTTTTTTGTAGAGAGGCGGTTTCACTATTTTGCCAGGACTGGTCTTGAACCCTAGGGTTCAAGCGATCCTTCCACCCTGGACTCCCAAAGTGCTGGGATTATAGGCATGAGCCACCACTCCCAGCCTCAAATAAATATTTTTCTATTGCAGAGGGGGCTTCTCTGGGGGAGCTTCTTCCCAGAAGCAGTGTCAAAATCACTCAGGGGATTGACGAAGTATTTTACAATCAAGTTCCTGGGAGAGTGAAAACTTGTCCCCACTTTGTTAGTTTCCAAGTCCTTTTCATCTTCCTCCTCCACTCCCTCCTGCCCCTCTTCTTCCTCCTCCTCTGTGTCACAGGTGAGGGCCTGCCGCATCTCAGGACCCAAGTCCTGCAGGCTCCGCAGACCAGCCTGTGGGGGTGGAGAAATAGGTAAGCAGGCAGCTCAGGGTCTGAACTTTCCCTCTGTTTCCCCTGCAGGCGGGTAGGGTGGGGGAAGGAGTCCTTCAGCCACCCTGGCCCTCCGTGAGGCCTGGGGCCTCAGTTTCCTTATCTGTGACATGGGTTTCACAAGATCAAAATGGGGGTCAGCCTCAGCCACAGCACTGCCACACGTGCCCATCCACACTAGGCCCTGCCCCGAAGACCTGAAGGGCGGAAGAGGTGCTAGGGGCGGCGTCGTTGCCTAGTAGCCCTTTTTCTTTCCTCCGCCGGAATTTGCGGAAATAGTCCTGGATCAGAAATGTGGCGTAGAATTTGCCCACGGTGACCTCCTCCTCTAGGGGCAAGGGAGAGAAGGCAAGATCACACAGGGGCCCTCTGACCCAGCCCACCTCGCCGCCTCTCTACCCACCAGCATGGACTTCCCCTCGCCCTCTGCCCAGCGCTGGTTTTGTGGTGGAGAGCGATCATCTGCCATTCAGGGGCTGGCGCGGGGAACTGGGGCGGGGATAGCTCACCGTCTGGTGGGGGGATGACCTCATCTAGCAGCTTCTGTTTCATCCGCTTCCAGATCTTTTTGATGACAATCCGCAGCTCCTGGTTGGCTTGCTCCAGGTTCCCTGCGTTGGAGGAGGATGTGGGGCATGAGCCAATAGGAAGAACCTCCACAGCTGCCCCCTCACTGTTGGGTGGGGGGAACTTCACAAGCTGCTACCGCAGATGCACACCGCCCCCATTGGACGGGGTGGGGGGAAACAGGCCTGGAGAATCCTGTCACCCATTCTGGGGTTCAGAGCTAGGAGTGGGGCCCATGATTCAATGAGTTTGCTCCTTGCACCCTCCCCAGGAACGATCCCACTCCTGCCCCTCCCCTACACCTTCTGTTTTGATCTTCAGGGATGTCCGGACCAGGGCAAAGAGTGTGGCGTTGAATGTCACCGTCCCATCTGAGTTGAGGGGCATGTTCATTGCCACAAGTCTCTGCAAACACGAGAGACATGAAACCCACTCTGGGAAAATGCCGGGTATGCAGGAACGAATGTCAAGGGGCAGAAACCTCTGAGGATGCGATCAAACACCCCTCCCCACCCAAGGCAGATCCCTTCCCACCCTTGCCATGTGATAGACAGTTCTCTCAGGAGCCTGGGGGTGGGCAGGTGCACAGACCTTGCAGGCCACTCGGTGTGGGCACAGCTTCCCAAATCCCAGAGGGGGCTGGATACGTCTCAGCAGGGCAACCACATCCAAGTGTTTGATGCGGCCCCTGGAGGAGTTGGGGAGGTACCACTGGATTGGCGATGCCCCCACTAGCCCTTTCTCAAGGCCCCACCAGCTCATCACTACCTCCTCCTACCAATACCCCAGAGCTTGCCAGGGAAGAACTGGAGGGCAGTCAGAGAGGGCAGAGGATGGGGCAGTGGAAACTTTGGGGCATCTATTGACTGGGTAATGAGATGCAGCAGTCGGAGGTTTGGGGGCTAGGGGACTGTGTAGGGCAATACATTGTCCCCTGGATTCTAGGTAAGGGTATAGAGGGCATACTTGGCCCCAGGGTCATATTCAGACCAGATCCTCTTGAATTCATCAAGGTGATGGGGGCCCAGGATGGACCAATCTCTGGTGAGATAATCAAAGTTGTCCATGATCACAGCCACAAAGAGATTTATGATCTGTGGGCCAGTGAGCAAGGGAGCAGTTAGGTGAAGGGCAGAACACTGTCATGGACGGATGGTGGGAGGCTGGGGCGGGCTTATATGGTCATGAGTCTCTGGGTTGATCTTGTCATCAGACCAGCCCTCTCACCCACTATGAAGATCTGGGCTGCCCACGTCACATCCCTGAGCCCCTCAGGGCCAGCCCCCGTGACGGTGGTGGTGGTTGTGAGGAAATGGTTCTCACCAGGAAGGCACAGAGCATGAAGAAGCTGATGAAATAGGCGATGGCAAAATTGCTACCACAGGTAAACTCTTCACCAGGGCCGAAGTCAGACTCAGGATCACACCGATTTCCGGGAAGGCTGGCAAGCATTATCTCCTGCCATGCCTCACCAGTGGCACACCTGGTGGGAGTCACACAGGGGTAGCATCCTGAAGGGGAGGCTATGAAGTCATGGTAAATGGAGTTGGGGGAGGACTGGGGAATGAGGAGATGACCTACTTCTCACCAGGGGCTACATCTGGCACAGATAACATTTCAATATTTTAACAGCCAGTGTGGCCATGTTGACGACAGTCATGTTTGCATCTTACAGATGAGGCACTGAGACCTGAGAAGGGGAGGCGTCTTACAGTCAGAAAGAAAATGGCTGAGGCTAGAATACTCTAACAGACTCCTCACATCATAGCCAGGAAACATCTCGGGCTGTATGGAGCCCCATGCTGCCATATTATTCCCATAGCTCAAGCAGTCTGGGGCTCAGAGAGGGTGGGTGGGCACCCACGGGCATAAGGTGGCAGGGGAGTGAGTAGATGTCACCTGAACAGAAGCAGCACAGCCTGTGGAAAGGTCTGGAAGTTGTTGTTTCGGTTTATCTGTGTGCCATCCTGAAGAGCCACCTTGCCGAACATCTGTGGACACATCAAGGCTGTGTCAGTGGGGTGAACCCATGCCCCACCCATTTCACACCTCCTAATACCTAAAGGAGCCTCATAACCCTGACAAACAGGGCATCACTGCTGATCTCATTTCACAGATGTGTAGATTGACCCAGGGCCGTCCAGCTTGTCTGTCTACCTGCCACCCCTACTTTGGGGCTATTCTTAACCCATCCCCTGCCAGCAGAGGAGTGCTTAAGGGATGCTTCCTAGGGTCCCCACTTGCCTGCATGCCAATGACGGCATAGATGAAGAATATCATTGCGATGAGAAGAGCCACATAGGGCAAGGCCTATAGGGATGGGGGAGGGGGGCAGAGAATAGATGCACAGGCTCAGGCAAAGAACTATAAGCCCCAGAATGCACTGCTTTCCCTGGCCTGGGCCTACTGGGAGATGCAGTCCATCTCCAAAGTGCCAAGGACTGTGGTGTCTCTCAAATGTGAACATAGTGTTAAGTAGATAGAGTAAGGTCAGTGAGACCAGAGGTGTGTTGGAAACTGAGAGCCCAGAAAAAAGAGAAAATTGGAATAATAATTTGGAAATGGGTATGGCATGTTGGGAGATGTAGTTCTGAGGGTGGTAAAGGGGCAGGCTGAGAAGTGTGAAATGGGGGCGAGGTATGGTCAAAGGGATGGGGTAGGGGATTACCTGGAAGGACTTGATGAATGTCCAGAGCAATGTGCGGATCCCTTCACCCTTACTGAGAAGCTTGACCAGCCGCATAACTCGGAAGAGGCGAAAGAAGGTAATGGAAATGCGGGAGCTGTCCTCAGAGCTCTGGGGTGAGGGGTGCAGTAGGGATGCTCAGTTTGCATTTACTCCAGCTATCTCCCTATCTCATGCTTTGGCCCTCCCAGTACCCAAATCACTCAGGCCCTAGGGTAATCTGGAGGGATGGAGGGACAGAGGGACATGGGAAAAGAAGCAGAGAGTCCCTGTTATTAGGGTGGGCTACCTCGCCAAGGTGGCCACCATTCTGGAGGGAGATATGGCCAAGAAAAAGGTGATACAGGAGATGATGACATCATAGGCCCAAATGAACAAGGTGAGATATGATGGAGCAGATATAGGGGGTGATGGTGGGGTCATTACACAGGGGACAATGGGAAAGTTTATATGGTAGTGGATTAGGATTAGGAAAAAGTGGGTAATGGGAATGGAAGGGAGAGGAGAGAGTAAAGGAGGTGATGGATCAGAGACATTGGAGCCAATAGAGGAAATGATGGAACCAGTGGTGTCATAGAGATGATGGAGATGAGAGAACCGATGGAGAAGCCAATGGAGAAGCCAGTGATGGAGATAGGGAACCAGCAGCGTTGTCAGTTGAGGTGACAGAACCATGTAGTACCCAATGGAGGTGATGGAGCCAATGATATAGTCAATGGTGATGACAGAGCCATGAAAGAGCCAGTGTCAGAGATGATGAAGTTGGTGGAGAAATGAAGCCAATGAAGTCATCAGAAAAGATGGAGCCAAAGCAGGAGCCAGTGAACATGACGGAGCCAATGGATGGGGGATGTAGAGGCAATGAAAGAGATAACAGAAATAACAGGAGAGGCATTTCAGGAGATGGTGGAGCCAGTAGATAGGTTACAAAATGGAATGAGAAAGCCAGTAGAGGGGGACTTTTGCTGAACCCAACAGGGACTCAGAAGAGATAGAGCTAGAATGAGGACTGAGTCTCCAGGAGTAGGGAGGATGTGCGTGGGAGCCACCCACCCACGTGAAAGGGAACCCCGGGATAGAGGTGAGGGAAGGTGTATAGGGCGAGAGTGGATTAGTGGAAAGGCCAGTTCTCACATTGACTTCAGTGACGGCAATATCCACTATGCTGCCCACCACAATAAGAGCGTCAAACGTGTTCCAGGCATCAGTGAAGTAATGCTGCAAGTAGGAGAAAAGCAGTGCCCTGTCTTCTCAAAGCTCGCAAGCCAGGGTAGGGGGCCAGTAGTAGTAGGGGGCGCCGGAGGGGGGCAGGGCTTCGCTTGGATCACACGATGGGCCTGCACCTGAGTCCCTCTCACTCCCTAGACTCACACTCCCTGGCTGCTGCCCGCATCGCCAACCCCAGAGCTCTGCAATGAGCTCCACTCCCAAGGAATTCATCCACTGGTGGGTGGGGCTAGAGAAGGGGGGCCACCTTGGGCTTGAAGGCGATGATTTTGAGCACCATCTCAATAGTGAAGAGGCCAGTGAAGACCATGTTGAGGATGTCCATGGCATAGTTGAAGGGAGCAGTCTGCTCATAGTGCTGCAGGAGAAAATCAGGTTGAGATGGAGCCTGAGGCAGAGATGCCGCCACACCCAACCAAATATTCCCTGGCCTGGGCTGAGACGAGTCTGGGGACTTGATTGCACTGTGTATTGGTCAAACCTCTTGCACTGTCTGCCTCCCATTATGGATACTGGAAAGTTTAGTTCTTGATTACTAGCTTTTCTTGTAGTTAGGCAAGGCCAGGTTGACTAGTGAGACATAAACATAAATCTGCTGTTGGTTAGCAGCTTGTGTAAAAAAAATTTTGCTTTCCGATGAAAGGATCAAATAAGGAGAGGCCCCAGGTGCAGCTCTCCCTGCCTTGAGTGTGGTTTTGATGCCTGGAGCTGTGATCATGAAACAACAATCATGAAAATGAATGCCAACTTGCTAAGAATGGTGAAGCAGAAAGATAGAGCATGGGTCCCGGATGAACAATGAACAAACAGCCTACCTCTGCACTTCTCAATACATGAGGTAATTACCACAGTTCATTGACTCCAGGAGGCACATCTTTTTACATTTTAGAATCTCTGAAATTGGGGCGCATTTTATAACAAATGGCAACTTACAATGGCCACTGGCTACTTTTTTTTTTTTTTCCACATTCTTACATCTCCGAAATCAGAATGCAACTTACAAGTACTGGCCATAGACTTAAAGAAATGTGGCAAATGTCTTTATAGCTTAAGTTGCTGTTAGTTGGCAGGGGGTTTGTTATTTGCAGCCTTAAATGTTCCCAATGGTTCCCAAGGGATTATGTGGAGATAATAGGGTCAGGAGTCTGGCGGGGGTCAGGCAGGGATCTCAGACCTGCATGGCTAGGGCAACTGTGTTGAGCAGGATGAGCAGGAACATCAGGTACTCAAAGGCAGCAGAGTTCACAGTGGCCCACACACGATACTGATGCGGGTTCTTGGGGATGTAACGGCGGAGTGGCTGGGCCTTGAGGGCATATTCCACACATTGACGCTGCATACCAGGGCAGGGCATGAGTGAGCAGTGGGGTCCTGAGGCAAGGAGGGAAGGGTTGGTGACCATCCATAGGGGGTCAGGGGTCAGAGGTCACCTGGTTCTTGTCCAGCTCACAGTTTTGGTACTCCTGCTCGCCCTGGGCACGGAAAGTGATGATGACGAAGCCCACGAAGATGTTCATCATGAAGAACGCAATGATGATGATGTAGACAATGAAGAACACTGAGATCTCCACACGGTAATTATAGATGGGGCCGTGGTCCTCTGCATATGCATCGATGGCCTTGTATAGCAGTCTGTGGGAGCCAGAGGGGGGGTAGAGGTGGGGGCAGGTGAGGGGATATCCCAGCCCCCTCAGACCTGCCCCCAGTCTACTTATCACAGACACCCCAGAGTTTCCTGCCTGGCACCCCAAAGACCCCTAAATCTCCTGACCTAACCACCTGGGACCTCCATACATACTCTAAGAGACCTCTACCAGGCCCTCAAAGAGTCCAAATCCTCTGTCCCATGCCCTCAGAAACCCCCATAGAGTCCTCCAGAGAATCTCCATTCAGAACCTCAAAGACCCAGAAATCCCCTAAGTTTCCACAGACCTTCAAATCCCCTTCTCCAACCACTTGGAGACCCCCATGCGCCTCCCCAGAACTTCCACACAAGCCCCCAACGATCTGTAAATTTATCCCTGTCCCATCAACTTGAATCCCCACTCCATCTCCCCACAGAGCCCCACAATGAGTATCCCAAAGACCTGCACAGCTTTCTAGAAATCGCTGAATCCCTGCTTCATCTCTTCAGAGACCAATCCCAGTCCCCTCAGACCTCCACTCTGTCCCCCCAAACCATCTCCAATCCTTTCCAGGCTTCTATCTAGCTACCTAGTCCCTTAGAAACCGCTGTCCAATTCCTGGAGACCCCTCACTCAAGTCCCCAAAGAACCCCCACCCAGCTTCTGGGAACTCCACCTCTACAGTCCTCTGATACACCCACCACTCTCCAGAAAACCCTATCCAGTCTCGAGAGACCTTCGTCACATCCCCAAGGTACACTCCCACCCATTCCCAGGAGATCCCAACCCAATCCTGCAGAGACCCCTGCCTCATCCCCTGATAAACCCAGGGCCCTGTCCCTCACGCAGGCCAGCCTTCAAAGGTGGAGACAGTGAACAGGGCCATCATGGCTGAAAGGACATTGTCAAAGTTGAAATCACTGTTGACCCAGAGCCGCTCCCGGACCAGGGGCCGTGACACGTCTCCATCTGGGTATACCAGGAAGGAGCCCCTGTGGATGTGCAAACAGGTTAGATGGGTGAGGAGGGGTGAGGAACTGGGGAAAGGGTCTGGGGTCTCCAGCATGGAGGCAGCAGGACATAGTGGTGGAGCAATATGTTCTAGGTTCAAATCCTGTCCCTCCATGTCCTGGCTGGGTGACCTTGCGCATTTACCCTTTCTGTGCTTCTGTTTCCCCATTCTAAGAAATAAGGATAATAACAGAATCGATTTCCTGGCTTGTCACAAGGATTAATAAATGTCACAAGTCAATAAATGAGACTAGTGTCTGGCACATAGTTGGCATCATTTCATCATCACCATTATCATCCTCATCATCGCCCACCAGGAAAAAGTAAAACGAATAATAGCCAACGTTTATTAGCAGTAACTATATGCCAGGCACTGAACTAGATTTTCTTTTTCTTCTCTTCTTTTCTATTCTCTCTTTTTTTTTGAGACGGAGTCTTGAAAAAGACTCTGCCCAGGCTGGAGTGCAGTGGCATGATCTTGGCTCACTGCAACCTCCGCCTCCCGGGTTCAAGCGATTCTCCCTCCTCATCTTCCCGAGTAGCTGGGATTACAGGTGCACAACACCAAGCCCAGCTAATTTTTGTATTTTTAGTGGAGACGGGGTTTCACCATGCTGACTAGGCTGGTGTCGAACTCCCAACCTCAGGTGATCTGCCTGCCTTGGCCTCCCAAAGTGCTGGGATTACAGGCGTGAGCCACAGCGCCCGGCCCAAGCTAGGTTTTCTGTGTAGCAACTTTACATTGTACAAAGTACATTTTCCATGTAGTAGCTCATTTACTCTTCACAACAGCCTTGTGAGATAGGCACTGTTTAGCCCCGTTTTTCAGTTGAGTGAAATGGAACTGAGTAAGTTTAAGAAATGTACCTAAGTCTCATGAAGTGGATTTGAACCGTAATGTCTGACTTCACAGCCCAGGCTTTTAGCTACTACCCTCTACAGGAGTCTCAAGATGGAAGCTGGGGGCTCAGGGTGGGAATGGTGATTGCTAATGGGTCTGGAGTGGAATGTAGGTCACTTGGGGAATGCGGAGAGGGATTTGGGGGAGGTATCGGGGGGCCGCCGAAGACTTGGTGAGATCTGAGGGCCTCTGCAGTTCTTGGGACAATTCTGGGACTATATCTTTGGGCCTTGGTGAGATCTAGAGGCTCTAAAGTCTTTGGGAGGGGTCCTGAGCTCCGTGGACGGCAGGGTCTTGGGCACTCACTTGCATTCTTGAGGGGTGTGTTTGGCCTCGTCCGTGCAGGTGTAGAATTTCCCCTGTAGAGAGGATGTCTGTCAAGTAGGTTCACCCTTCATCACACTCCCGCCCAGACCCCTGCCTGGCATTCCCTCCAGTGTTTGCCCCACCTTGAAGAGCTGCACCCCGATGCAGGCGAACATAAATTGCAGAAGTGTGGTGACAATCATGATGTTTCCGATGGTCCGGATGGCCACAAATACACACTGCACCACATGCTGCGGGCACCCAAGCATATGGCTACTGAACACTACAGGCCACAGTGGTCATGGGGCAGGGACTCTGGTCATAGATGCAGCTGAGGGACTTGGGCTGGGGACATGTGGTGATGGGTCAGGGATGTATGGTTAGCAACATGTGTTCAAGAGGCAGTGTTATGGGCTAGAGACGTGTGGGCATCCACCAGGAATAAGTGTTTGCCGGGTGGGGATCTGTGGCCACCTGTCAGGGAGCTGGGTCTGAGAAATGTGGCCACTGGTAGAAACATATGGTCACTTGGAAGGAACATGGGTCAGGCCACATGGCTAGTGGTCAGAGATGTGTATTTATGTGTCAGGTCCAGGCCGTATGGTCATGCATCCGTGCAAATGGTCAGTTTGATCAGTGATCCTGGCCCCAGGGGCAGGGCAGGGCCTGGGTCCTGTGGGTTTGGGTGGGGTGGGGTTACCTTGAGTCCCTTGGCCCTGTTGATGGCTCGGAGGGGCCGCAGTACTCGGAGTACTCGCAGAATCTTCACCACCGAGATGGCGCTGGAGCTGGGGAAGGGGCAATCCTCAGGCATTGGCCCTGGCTGGGCCCTGGCTGTGAGAGGAATGGGGTGGGCTGGGGATCTGTCACTTACTGGATGCCAAAGGAGATGAGGGACACACTGACCACCAGCAGATCCAACATATTAAACCAGCTACGGCAGAAGGAGCCGCGGTGCAGGAAGGCCCCAAACACTGTCATCTGGGGACAGGACAAGAGGCTAGACTCAGACCTGGGGATGGTGGGGGTTGGGGGAGGTGGGGATGGGGACAGGAGAGGTGGGCTGCAAGAACCGGTGGGGAGAGTGCCAGGGCAACTGAGGGTAGGACTGGGGTCCCATTAGTCACCTTTAGTAGAATCTCCACAGTGAAAATGGAGGTGAAGGCATAATCGAAGTAACCCAGAATCTGGGGTGTGAGAAAGAGCGGGGAGCCACTGAGTCACGGCTGAGGGGGATCCTAGGTGACTTCTCAAAAGGCTTGGCCATCAGAAAGATTAGGGTTCAAATTTGGACCCTTCTGCCTCTACCCAGCTACATGGGCGCCTTTGGCCTGCTTAACCTCTCTGAGCACAGCTTCCTCCTCAGTCAAATATTGATCTCCTCCCTGGTGCTTCCCCGTGTGTTGCACATGCCGTAAAGGCTGGCATTGCATCAGCTGCGTTAATGAGCCCCTCTCTCGGCTCACCTAGGGCTCTTCTCCTTATCTCCACCCTGACCCAGCTTGTGCCCACTAGGACACCCCTGGGAGTGTCCCCTCAGCTCCTAGCTCCCAGCCAAAGGCTCACATGGTTGCGGAAGGAGTGGGCTCGGATGGGGTCCTCAGCGGCCAGGGACACACTGCTGAGGATGATGAACACCAGGATAAGATTGGTGAAGACATGATGGTGGATGAGGGTGTGGCAGCCCTTCCTCAGCCTGTGGAGAGGGAGTGGGCCATGGTCAGAACTCAGGACCACAGAATTGTTCAGGGATTCCAAGGGATACAGTTCTGGCCCTGACACAACACCCATGCCCCCACTCCCACCTTGGCTGCTCCTCCATGCTCCTCCACCTGCCCTAGCCCCTCCTGCCTCACCCCCTGCCACTTCCGGCACTCACGGGTTGGTTTGGCTGAGGCAGAAGAAGGCGCTGCCCTCAGGGATGGGTACCACCTTCTCCTTGGGTACAACTTCCTGCAGGAGTTCCACACCCCCTGCACCCTCTTCCTCTTCTTCCTCTTCTTCCTCTTCTTCCTCCTCCTCCTCCTCCTCCATGTCTGGCACCAGAGAAAAGCAAAAAAAAATTAATTGAGCAAGTTGATGTAAAGCACCCAGAACAGTGTTTGCCACGTGGTCAATTCTTCCCATTTCCCTGCTAGAATGTCAGCTCCTCCAGGAAGGTATTTTAGTCTGTTTTGTATGCTGCTATGTCCACAGCACTTAGAACAGTGCCTGGGACACAGTAGGAGCTCAGTAAATGTGTGTTGAAAGAATGTTGTATATACAGACTATTTTATAATAAAGGCTCTGAGAAGTTCAGCAGTAAACAAAACGTGTTTCTCTTCTTCTTGTTTTTCTTTAAAGATAGGGTCTTACTCTGCTCCCCCAGGCTGGACTTCAGTGGTGCCATCATGGCTCACTGCAACCTTGAACTTCTGGGCTCAAGCAATCCTCCTACCTTAGCCTCCTGAGTAGCTGGGACTACAGGCTTGCATCATCATGCTTGGCTAATTAATTTCTTTTTTAGAGATGGGGTCTTGCTATGTTGCCCAGGCTGCATTTCCCTTCTTTAACCTCAATGTTCCCAAATGTTGCTGACCACATACCAAGTCTGTTATTTTCAGGATGATCTTGGAAAAGGCTGATCTCTGGAGAGGAGGGTCTCAGGGGTCAGGAGCTGTCTGCCTGAGCTCTTTCCCCAAGGTCCCACACCTGCTCCACCTGGCCCTGCCCACTTGCCTGCTCCTTCCCTCCTTGCACCCTCCTCTTCCTCTTTCTCCACACCAGGCACCTGAGGACAGGAAGACGGGAGTCATCAATGGTGAGGGAGACACAGGGAATGGACACAGGGGAGGCATGGAAGAAATGTAATAATAGGGGAAAGAATAGGCAGAGGATGAAGGTTAAAGACATGCACATATGGCTGGGCGCAGTGGCTCATGCCTGTAATCCCAGCACTTTGGGAGGCTGAGGCAGGTGGATCACTTGAGGTCAGGAGTTCGAGACCAGCCTGGCCAACATGGTGAAACCCTGTCTCTTTCAAAAATAACAAAAATTAGCCGAGTGTGGTGGCGCATGCCTGTAAATCCCAGCTACTTGGGAGGCTGAGGCAGGAGAATCTCTTGGACCCAGGAGGCAGAGGTTGCAGTGAGCCGAGATGGCACAACTGCACTCCAGCCTGGGCGACAGAGTGAGACTCTATCTCAAAATAAAACAACAACAACAAAAAAACAGATATGCACACATAGACAGGTAGTGGTGGGAGTGGGAGGTGTAGACAGTGCCCAGGCATCTAACTCACCAGGCCTTCATTCTCCTGTGGGAGATCCTTCTCATTGCTCTTCTCCCTGTGCGAGGAAATAGGGGTGATTGCTGCAGATGGGCTAAGGGAGATCACTACAGTCAGAACAGACCTTTCTTGGGTCCCATAGAACTTTCTTGCTTCCGCTCTTCCCCACTGCCCCTCCCAACAGTCCGTTCTCAAAGCAGCCAGAGGGAGCCTGTTAAACCCTGTCTGGGATATCCCAACTCTGCCCACAACCCTCCCACGTCTCCTTAATTCAGGAAAAACTACAGTCCTCACCCTGGCCCAGAATGCCCTCAATCTGGCCCTCCATTTCCTCCACTGACCTTCACTCCATACCACTCTCCTCCTTCCTCACTCCATTCCAGCCTCACTGTTTTTATTTTTTTGAGACGGAGTCTCACTCTATTGCTCAGGCTAGAGGGCAGTGGTGCGATATTGGCTCACTGCAACCTCCGCCTCCTGGGTTCAAGCGAGCTTGTCCAGCTAATTTTCTTTTGTATTTTTAGTAGAGACAGGGTTTCACCATATTGGCCAGGCTGGCCTCGAACTCCTAAGCTCAGGTGATCCACCCTCCTCGGCCTCCCAAAGTGCTGGGATTACAGGCGTGAGCCACTGCTCCCGGGCATCGCTGGTATTTTTTGAAAGTGCTAAGAATGTGGTCAGGTGCGGTGGCTCACGCCTGTAATCTCAGCACTTTGGGAGGCTGAGGCGGGTGGATCACCTGAGGTTAGGAGTTCAAGACCAGCCTTGCCAACATGGTGAAACCCCATCTCTACTAAAAATACAAAAAAATTTAGCTGAGCGTGGTGGTGTACGTCTGTAATCCCAGCTACTCAGGAGGTTGAGGCAGGAGAATTGCTTGAACCTGGGTGGCGGAGGTTGCAGTGAGCTGAGATAGCACCACTGCACTCCAGCCTGGATGACAAGAGTGAAACTCCATATCAGAATAAAAAAAAAAAGTGCTAAGAACATTAGCGCCCCAGAAGCTTTGCACTTGCCACTCCCCTTCCTTGAATACTCTTCCCCCAGATATTTGCATGGCTCACTCCCTCACTTCATTCAGGTCTCTGGTGAAATGTCACTTCCTCACAGAGACCTTCCTTGCTGACCTTAACCCCAAAGAGCAATCTTCATTTCTTGCTATCCTTTCATTCTGTTTTCTCTTTATTACATATTATTAACATATATTATATATTCATTTGTTTTATTTTTCTTGCCTTCCTCAACTAGAATGTTAGTTCCATGAAGGCAAGGACTCTTGTCTGCCTTGACCCCTGTTGTCTCCTCAGCATCTAGAACAGGACCTGGCACACAGTAGGCAGTCAATAGATGCATGTTGAATGAATGAGGACTGGCAGATGGTATCTGGAGATGGGGATTACCAGGGTGACTAGAGGCATCTCTGGTGGTGGGGGTGTCTGAGGGGTTCCCAGTCAGGGATCCCAGAGAGAGACTGTGTTAGGGGTGGAGCCAGATCTCACCCGCCCTTGTCCTTGGCAGTGCCTGCATCTCCACTGGCCAGGTTGTCCACAGCAATGGCAAGAAACACGTTCAACAGGATGTCTGGGATGAGCTTAGGCTGCAAAGGATGGAGAAGCACCCTGCCTATAGACCACCCAGTTCCCCTTACCCACCCCGACTCCACCATCATCCAGCCCCACAAAGCTCCAAGGATACAGTTGCCACAGATGAAGAGAATGATGAAATAGATGCACACCAACATTCCTGGGAAGAAGGGGCCACCATATGCCATGATACCATCATACATGACCACGTTCCAGTCCTCACCTGTCAGGATCTGGGGGTGGGAAGTCACTGTGGAGCTCTTGGACCCCCTCCAACTCCAGGGTCTCCCCGACCCACCCATCCCATGGTCTCCAGATCCTACCTGAAAGACAGTGAGGAGGGCCTGGGGGAACGTGTCAAAGGTGCTTCGCTTGGTGTGGGTCTGGTCAAAGTTGAACTTGCCCCCAAACAGCTGCATGCCAAGCAGGGAGAAGATAATGATGAAGAGGAAGAGGAGAAGCAGCAAGGATGCGATGGATTTCATTGAATTGAGCAGGGATGCCACCAGATTGCTCAGAGAAGCCCAGTGTCTGCAGCAGAAATGGGAGGGGGCAGGGTCGATGCCATGTCCACTGGACATGGCTGGAGCATCAGGAGCCAGGGCAGGGCTCCAGCTTGAGATGCACCTCGGCAGGTTGGGCTCAAATAGGCTTTGGTGTCAGGGTTAGAAATGATTTTGGAGTTGGGGTGAGATGAGAGTAAGAAGTGGGGGAAGCTGGGCCCTGTGGTGGCTCACGCCTGTAATCCCAGCACTTTGGGAGGCCAAGGCGTGTGGGTCATGAGGTCAGGAGACTGAGACCATCCTGGCTAACACGGTGAAACCCCGTCTCTACTAAAAAAAAATTAGCCAGGCATGGTGGCAGGTGCCTGTAGTCCCAGCTACTCAGGAGGCTGAGGCAGAAGAATGGCGTGAACCCAGGAGGCGGAGCTTGCAGTGAGCCAGGATTGCACTGCACTCCAGCCTGGGCGATAGACAGAGACTCTGTCTCAAAAAAAAAAAAAAAAAAAAAAAAAGAAGAAGAAGTAAAGAGGTAGGGGAAAGTTGAGAGTTTGGGGTTAGGGTTGGTGGTAGGGGTATAATGGGAGACTGGGAGATGAGGTTAGGATGGAGTTTTTTTTTTTCTTATCTTTTTTTTTTTTTTTGAGATGAAGTCTCACTGTGTTGCCCAAGCTGGAGTGCAGTGGCACAATCTCGTCTCACTGCAACCTCCACCTTCCAGGTTCAAGCGATTCTCCTGCCTCAGCCTCCCGAGTAGCTGGGACTACAGTCACTTGCCACCACTCCCGGCTAATTTTTTTGTATTTTTAGTAGAGACGGGGTTTCACTACATTGGCCAGGCTGGTCTTGAACTCCTGACCTTGTGATCCACCCGCCTCAGCCTCCCAAAGTGCTGGGATTACAGGCGTGAGCCACCGCATCCAGCCTAGGATGGAGGTTTAATGGAAGTTGGTGAAGCTAGAATTGGGTTTCAGCTTGGGACTGGGCCTGGTGTTGGGGATGGGGTTGTGATGTATTTGGGGTTGGAGATGGAGTTAAGGGTAAGTTGTGGTTGAGGGCTGGGATAGAGGAGGGGATGGGATGAGACTGGGGCTGAGGCTGGAAATGGAGTTGCAGTTGAAGATAGGGTGATGGTTAAGGGTTAGGGACGTGGGAGTTCTCTTTGGGGATTGAGGATGGTATTATGGTTGGTGGTTAGTGACAGGGATGGGGCTGGGAGTTAGGGATGAGGTGGGAGATGGAGTTGGGCTTGGGAATGGGTGTTAGCGTTGTAAATGGGCTCATAGGTGACCTGTGGTTGGGGGTTGGGATCAGAGATGGTATTGTGGTTGGGGGTTGGGATGGGGTTTGGGCTGGGAATAGTATGGCATTGAAATCGGAGACAGGGTTGGGGAAAAACGTTAGAGCAGGAGTTGAGGTTGAGGAAGGCAATGGAAATGGAGTAGACATTCTCCCCAGTGGATGAAGACAGGAACTTGTGTCTGCTTTGATTCCTGGTGTTTCCCTAGGGCTTGGTAGGGTGCCTGGCACACAGCAGGCACTCAATGGATGTCTGCTCAATGAATGGTGAAGCAGATGAAGTTATCATTGGAGCTTGGGTGGGGGTGTTGAGGCTGTGTTTGAGGCCCTTGTCTTCCCCCTCCCCTAATACAAACCTGGTGACCTTAAAGATCCTGAGGAGGCGCACACATCGGAGCACTGAGATGCCCAAGGGCTGCATGGCACCCACCTCCACCAAGGTGGTCTCTAGGATGCCCCCACAGACCACAAAGCAGTCAAAGCGGTTGAAGAAGGAAGACACATAGGCAGAGGGGCCCAGACCGTACAATTTGAGAAGCATCTCCACCGTGAACAGACAGAGCAACACTTTGTTGGCATACTCTGTGGGGAGAGAGGCAGGGATGATCGGGCTGGCCAGTTTCTGTGGTGACATGTGGGGAGGTAACTAGGGACCATGGGGTGACCCACGGTAGCTGGTATCAGGCCAGGTGCTGGCTGAGGGAAGGCTTAGGGCTAGGGATTGGGGTGAGTTTGTAGGTCAGAGTAGGTGAAGTTTTGAGGGGCTTGGAGATGGGGATGAGGGGCAGAGTCGGGGTGGGGGCCAGAGTCAGTGTCTATGAGTCCAGAAGACCCAAATTCACAAGTAGAGTTAGAGTCTAGGGTTTCTTCGGGACTGGGGCTGGTTTGTGGGTTATGGGTTAGAAATGTGCTCGGTATTCAGGCTGGGGCTGAGATTATAATGAATAATAGTAAGAGCTGACACTTATAAAGTGTTAGCTATATGGTGGGCCATACAATGTCCTAAGCACTTTTCACTTTACATCATTTACTCCTCTTCGCTGCTTCATGAAGTGGATACTACTATCTATCATCTCCATTTTGTAGATGTGGAGAACTTTTCCAGACAGTGTGATGATAAGAGCCTGGATTCTGGAGCCAGGCTGCCTGGGTTCTAATTCTGGCTCTGCCACTCGCTAGCTGGGTCCCGAGATTAGTCGCTTAACCCCTCAGTGCCTTGATGCTCAGTGTTCTGTGCCTTAGTATTTAATTCGCATAAGGTTGTGGTGAAGAAATTGTCAGTACACATAAAGAAAGGTGCTGAGAAAGGAGCTTGAGGCACACAGCAAGTGCTACCTGTGTAAGCTACAAGGTGGGATGGGACAGGCTAAGGGCTCTGGATTTATTTGGGTAGGGGGGAAGGCAGTGTCTTGGGGGCTGAGGCGCCCTAGAGGTTTTGGATTTAAGCTTCTGGGGTAGAAGGAATAGGAGGCTGGGGGAGACGACTAGCAGGCTGGGGGTGTACCCTGGATCTGGGTGAGCCACACAGGCTGCCCGTGGTGCTCAGAGGCGATGGTCAACGTGTTGAGGAAGACGAGCAACAGCACAGCCCAGTAGCAGGCATTGGACTTCACTGCCCGACGGCAGCGTGCCCGAAGGACCCGGTTGGCTCGGCGGAGGCGGCGGCTGGGGGAAGGGGAGCCCACAGGCTGAGATCACCTACCTAAGCCTGCCCTGGGGGGCTCAGGTGGGGGATCCAAAGGTCATGAGGGCTTGGAGGTGGGGGGTTTCAAAGTTATGGAGTCAAGGATTTGCACAACTTTCCCAACTCACCAGACTCTGGTTTTCATGATCTTGTTTCTGAAAAAGAAGGGGGATGGGAGGTGTGTGTCGTAAAGGGCAGAAGGGGTGTCAGTGACTGGGGCCAGAGGTCAAGGACTGAGATCGAGGCTTGAGGCTAAAGAAAGGACTTGAGTCAGGGTTTGGACTGGCTTCTGGGCTGGGTCAGGGGCTGGGGGCCCTCACAGGCAGCGTGTACAGCTGGCCAGAGCCCCCTCCTCCTCATCCTCATCGCCTTGGGTCTCTGTCATGGAACCGGTGTCACTGGCTGGGAGGCTGGCTGTAGGCAAGGTGGGGATAGTGGTCAGGACCTGAAGACCCCGAGGTCCAATCTTTGGCTTTCACCTCTGCCTACCCACCCCCACCCCAGCCTGGCTGGACCCCCACCATGGCTGCTGGTGGAGTGTGTGGAGCGAGTAGAATGACTGAACCAGCGCAGACGTCCACGCCTCCTATTGGTCAGCTCGGCCAGCTGTGGCCCTGCAGGGAGAGAAAGGACAATTAGGGAGGACATACTGGGGGCAGGGTTAGGGCCATGTCTAGGGTAGGGGTGTCATTTGGAGTCTTTATAGCTGAGGCTGGTCTTGATTCTGCATTTTGAGCCATAACTTGGGGGCTGGGGCTAGAGTTGTTGCAGATCAGGCCTGGGTGGGTCTCAGGAGGGCAGACCACATCTAAGGCATGCAGGGAATGGGCCAGATTGGAGTTGCCTACGATGGCCCGCCCGGCCCTCTTCAGCCATAGAACCAAGGTTGTCATCGGCGGAGGGGTCCTCCATGTCCAGCTCTTCGGCTTGAGTGATCCAGTCCAGGTAGCCCCGCAGGTCTTCCTCCATCTGCTGCTTCTCCCGCTGCTTCTGGAAGTCCCCGCGAGCTTTCGCTTTCTCTCTCTCCTTGGAGAACTCCCTGAGGGAGGAGGATAGAGGGCTAGGGGGAGGAGCCAATCTGAACACCTTGCTTTCATCACTCCAGCCACACTAGCCTCCTAGCTACTCTTTGAATATGCCAAGCACATTCTAGCCTCAGGGCCTTTGCACTGACCATTCTCTTTGCTTGGAATGCTTTTCCCTCAGATAACCACATGGTGCACCCACCTCATCTCTTTTTTTTTCTTTTCCCCAGATACAGGGTCTCACTCTATCACTCAGGGTGGAGTGCAGTGGTGTGATCATAGCTCACCGCAGCCTCGACCTCCTGGGCTCAAGCGATCCTTCCACCTCAGCTTCCTGAGTAGCTAGGACTACAGGTGTGCGCCACCATGCCCAGCTATTTTTGTTCATTTTTTGTAAAGATGAAGTCTCACTATGTTGCCCAGGCTGGTCTCGAACTCCTGACCTCAAGCCATCCTCCTGCCTTGGCCTCCCATAGTGCTGGGATTACAGGCATGAGCCACTGCACCTGGCCTCTTTCACATTTTTACTCAAATAACACCTTGTCAAGACAGCCTTTCCTGACATCCCTATTTATAATCACAAGATCTCTCCATTCTTATCTTTTATCTTTCCTTTCTTTCCACAGTACATATTCCATATAAAACACTATATATATGTGTGTGCCAATATATAAATGCACACACTTATTTTATTGCATATGTTGCTACTTTCTGTCTCTCCCCATCAGAATGTAAAACCAGGAAGGCAGAGATTTTTGTCTTTTGTTCCACTCCTAAAATGGTGCCTCACATACAATAGATGCTCATGATTGAATGAAGGAGTATTTCAGATGGGTTTTGAAGGATGTCTAGGAGTTTGCCAGGCACAAAGAAGTGGGCAGTGGCTGAGGGGTGGGAAGCAGGGAGTGTCTAGGTCTCTCACCCACTCAGGACGCCAAGCACAAGGTTGAGGACGAAGAAGGACCCAAAGATGACAAGGCTCACAAAGTACACCCAGGGCAGTTCATACCCCATGGCATCTTGCATCTGGGGAGAGAAAAGGCATGCATCCCTCAGGGTAGGCAGACACTCCTGCGTGAGTGTCAGGGAGGAAAGGCAGGTGCAGCCTTTGAGCTCTGTGCCCACAGTCCACCTCACCCAGTAGAGCACATCGGTCCAGCCTTCCATGGTGACACACTGGAAGACTGTCAGCATGGCGAAGAAGAAGTTGTCAAAGTTGGTGATGCCTCCATTGGGCCCTGGCCAGCGCCCGCGGCACTCAGTCTGGTTCAGCGTGCACGCACGCCCTGATCCCGAAGACGCACAGGGCGATGGGTCCTCCTCCGCTTCCATGTCTGCAGGAAGACTGGAGCTTGGGGCTTCGAAGCAGGCCCACTCTCAGTCGCTGCCACCCTGAAGCCCCGCCCACTTAGGAAGCTCGACTTGGGTCCTAGATTTTTCTCTTTCTCTCTTTCTTTCTTTCTTTTTTTGAGACGGGGTCTCCCTCTGTCGCCCAGGCTGGAGTGCAGTGGCACGATCTCGGCTCACCACAACTTCCGCCTCCCGGGTTCAAGCAATTCTCCTGCCTCAGCCTCCTGAGTAGCTGGGATTACCGGCGTGTGCCACAACGCCCGGCTAATTTTTTTTGTATTTTTAGTAGAGACGGGGGTTTCACCATATTGGTCAGGTTGGTCTCGAACTCCTGACCTTGTGATCCGCCCGCCTCGGCCTCCCAAAGTGCTGGGATTACAGGCGTGAGCCACCGTGCCCGGCCAGTCCTAGATTTTTCTAAGGCAACACTTAGCTCCACTTCTAGGGCAGAACCCTGCGAGCTCCGTATTCTGAACCACTGGGAAGCTAGGGATCCCACCAACCGGGATTTAAATCCTGGCGTGGAGTCTTGTAAATAACAATGAGGCAAGAGCCTGGGGGCGGAGTCTTGTGAATTTGGACGCGTCTCTTGAAAATAGGGGAGGGGCAAGGCATGGGCGGGAGTCTGGGTAAATGGTCTGAGTGTATGAGAACAGTCGTGGAGAATAAAGCTTTTTTTTGGTTTGTTTTTGTTTTGTTTTTGAGACCGAGTCTCACTCTGTCGCCCAGGCTGGAGCGCAGTGAGTGGTGCGATCCGATCTCAGCTCACTGCAACCTCCATCTCCCAGGCTCAAGTGATTCTCATGCCGCAGCCTCCCGAGTAGCTGGGATTACAGACATGCACCACCACGCCCGGCTCAACTTTGTATTTTTAGTAGAGATGGGGTTTCACTATGTTGGCCAGGCTGGTCTCGAACTCCTGACCTCAAGTGATCCATCTGCCTCGGCCTCCCAAAGTGCTGGGATTACAGGCGTGAACCACGGCGCCCAGCCGAGGATAAAGTTTTTTAAAATTGTTTTTGTTATTATTTTTTGGAGACTGGATCTCACTATTTTGCACAGGCTGGTAGCAAACTCCTGGGCGTAAGTGATCCTCCCGCCTCGGCCTCCCAAATGCCGGGAATACAGGTGTAAGCCAAGGCGCAGAGTTTTTGTTTTGTTTTGTTTTGTTTTTGAGACGGAGTCTCGCTCTGTCGCCCAGGCTGGAGTGCAGTGGCGCATCTCGGCTCACTGCAAGCTCCGCCTCCTGGGTTCACGCCATTCTCCTGCCTCAGCCTCAGGTTCACGCCATTCTCCTGCCTCAGCCTCCCGAGTAGCTGGGACTACAGGCGCCCGCCACCATGCCCAGCTAATTTTTTGTATTTTTTTAGTAGAGGCAGGGTTTCACCGTGTTAGCCAGGATGGTCTCGATCTCCTGACCTCGTGATCCGCCCGCCTCGGCCTCCCAAAGTGCTGGGATTACAGGCGCAGAGTCTTGTCTTAAGTGCGGGGCACTTGCACTTAAGTCTTAAGTGCGGGGCAGGACCTTAGCCTGTGGGTACAGTCTCGTGATGGGGCGGAGCTATTAGCGAGGTGGGGTTGTAGTCTGATTTAGGGCAGAGTCTTGAATATATGGGTGGGACTTGGTTATCTGGGGATGGAACCTGAGCCTGGGGGCCGAATCTTGTGCATTTCAGTGGGTTTCCCTGAGTGCAGCATTGGATCTAGGAACCGAAGGAGGGGGCATGTTCTGCCTAGGAGGGGCGGGCAGACTAACCGGATCCCAGGAAGTAGCACGTCTTGTGCATTCGTCCAAGGAACAGCTCGAGCCCAATGATGGCATAAATGATGATGACGAAGAGCACGAGCAGTGCAATGTGCAGCAGCGGCACCAGAGCCTTCATGATGGAATTGAGCACTATGTGCAGGCCTGCGGGGAGGGAGGGGGAGGCAGAAATAAGGGCGGGGTCAGCTCAGCCCCACCCCCACCCTCCACCTCCGACCTCGGGGGATGTGCCACTCACTCGGGACCCCAGACACCAGCCTCAGTGGCCGCAGCACCCGAAACGCCCTCAATGCCTTCACATCGAAGCCTCCTGGCTTTCCCCCGGTGTGCGGGGCGTCGCCTGGCCGTCCGGGGCCCTGCTCCAGCAGAACGCTGAACAGCCTGATGGGGGAGCACCGGGCAGGGAGGCGGAGGTCAGGCCTTGGGATTCCCCCCTCCACCCTAACCTTCTCAGAAAAGCACAAGTCCCTGTAACTAGAAATAGAAATGGGTTTTAATAATATTCCTGATTCTGGCTGCCGAATGGGGGCGGTCTGAAAGAGTCGCTTTCCTGAGCCCAGAATTCAGCGGGCCTGACGGTAGGAAGGCGACTAGGGTGGGGTGCCTCCCGCAGACGCGCACCCGACCACGACGATGATGAAGTCGAGTAGGTTCCAGCCATTGCGGATGTAGGCGCTGGGGTGGAGCACCAGCCCGTAGGCCACGATCTTGAGCACCGTCTCCACAGTGAAAATCACCAGGAATACGTACTCCACCTGCTCCTGGGGGTGGGACCGGGGGGCGGGTCGGGAAGTCGAGGAGTTATTTGAAGGCGAGGTTTGACGGGGGCGTGGGGAGCATAGTCAGGACCGAGGGTGGGGCTGAGCCAGGCAGGGCCATCCGGGTCAGAGAGGGGGCGGGGTCTGGCTGGAAGGAGTGAGCTCTACTGGGGCTCTATTTGGCTGGGAACTGGCTGGGGCGGGGCGGGCCTTACCAGGTTGTGGTTGGCAGTGTTGGAGTCGTCCTCAGGGAAGGGGATGTAAACTCCCAGGGCCACGCAGTTGGCAAAGATGGTCAGCAGGATGAGGATGTCGAAGGGCCTCAGGTGGACACAGTCAAGGACCCTGGCAGAGTGGCATTGGAACCCCCCTACTCCCTTGGGAACCTCCCACCCAGTGCTGACCCTTGACGCCCAAGGTGACAGGTCCTGGCATTCTCGACCCCTGCCCTGACAAGGCCTTGACTTTGTCCCTCCTGGAAACCTTAACCATCCCCAACTCTTGCTGTGATTCAGTCCTTGACTCTTGAACCCTGGTGACCTTTGCCTTTCTGAACCTGCCCCCCAACCCAGTTCTTGACTCTTGACCTTGATGATCTCAGCCCTCCTCTGTTCCAGCCCTGACCCAATTCTTTACTCCTGGTACCCTGATGACCCTTACCCCTGGGCCCTGCCCCTGCCTTCCAGGATGCTTCCACTCCACGATGCTGATGCAGGACCGTCGCAGAGGATTGGCCAGGGTGAGGCAGAAGAGTGCCCGAGGTGACCGCTGGGCACTGGCCACTGCCACTGTCTTGTGCTTGCTGTGCTGGTTTCTTCGCTTAGGGGTCCCTAGGCCTGATGCCCCACTGCTTTCACCTTCCACAGCTGGGGGCCCGGGGCACAGCCCCCATTCGGGACCAGGGCCTGCCCCATTGGCTGGACTGGGCTCTGGGGTGGTGTCTATATGGAGAAACTGTGTCAGGGAGGGACAGGGTATTGGGGCAATTGTGGCTGCTTCCTACCTGATCCTGTCCCTCTGTTTGAAGGAAGGAGAGAAGAGCATGGAAAATTAGGGAGAACTGGGAGTAGCTGGGTTAAGGACTGGGAAGTAAGAGTGTTCGAATTAAGATTAGAGTGAGAGTTTATAGGGGAGTGAAGGTGAGATTACATTTCCAAGTGAAGTAGGGTTTGGTGTTTAAGTTGGGGGTAGAGTTTAAATTGCCATGGGGTGGGCGAATTTAAGGTTAAATTTGAGTGGTGGGTTTTGGGTTAGGGTGGGGATGGGTTTAGACATAGGTAGGAGTGGAGTTTTGTCTAAGGGTTAGGACTGGGTATTTTGAATTGGAATTAGAATTAGGATACAGGTTAGGGTCGAAGTTGAGTTTTGAGTGGGACTTGAATTTTGCATTGGGGTTTTCAGCTAAGGCCACTCCCAGTTCCCATGGTCTCGTTTCAGCCTCAGAGGGCGGTAGATTGGCCTGGTTAAGATTCCCAGCTTTGGATGAAACAAGCTGCCTGAGTTTAAATCCTGACTTTACCACTTGGTAGCTATGTGTTGCCTTGGGCAAATTATGTAATCTCTTTGAGCCTCAGTTTCCTTATCTGTATAATAAGGATGATAATAACAGTACCTAAAATATAGCGGTGTTATGAGGATTAAATGAGTTCAGAATCAAAAGAATGCCTGGCACATAGAGTTATTCCCATTTTGCAGATGAGAAAATTGAGAAGAAAAAGTTAAGTGACTTGCTGAAGTGGCTGAATGGGGAGTCACACTCAGTCTAACTCTAGAGCCCTCATGGCTTACTACCACCATCAAGTATGTCTTCTCTCTCTTTCTCTCTTTTGTTTTTGTTTTTTTTTTTAAAGGGTCTGTGCACTTTCTGGAAAGTCAGAGACTGCAATCACTAACAGTATTGACATCCCGGGGTTGAGGTTGAGGTTAGGTCACTTTAGGTCTGTATCTGGGGTGGGGTTTAGACTCTAACAGGGGTTTGCCTTCTGGCTGGTAGAGTTTGTGTTAGGTTTCAGGTGGGCGTTTGGATAGGGGTCAGAGCCAGGATTGAGGTTGGGTTTCCTTTGGGAACTAAGGCTGTGGATGAGGCTGAGAGGCCATGGGGGGTGGTGTCTGGGTCAGGCTGAGCGTTAGGGCTCTGGTGGCAGAGAGGCTGTTTGGGGCTGGCTGGGATGGGGAACAGGGTGATGTGGTTCTTGTCCCCTAGAGGCTCTCTGGGGGTGGGGTCTGGGTGGGCAATGGGTGGGTCAGAGGGGCTCTACCTTGCTCCAAGGGTCTGCAGGGATGGAAGGATTCTCTCACCTTTCCCGCCTTCAGATTCCGACATCTTTCTTTCGAGATTGAAGGGCCATCTGCACACAACCCCCCTCTCTTCCCCCAGCTTTGGAGGGATTAAGGCCGCAGGGCGGGGCAATAACAGTGTTGTATGGGAGGGTGGCGGTGGGGGTGCAAATGGGACGTTTGTGGGCCAGAGCCTGGCAACAGATGAAATATTTACCAAATATATACCTGCAGCAAACAGTCAAACTAAAATAAGAAAAACGATGTCATTTTCCAGTAGTATATGGAATTCGAAGTATGTAGGAAAAACCTAATATATGTGCAATATCTCTATGGAAAAAAGATCAAATATTATCAATTATTATTATTTTTAGAGACAGGGTCTTGCTCTGTCACCCAGGCTGGAGTGCAGTGGCGTGATCATAGCTCACAGTAGCGTTGAATTCCTGTGCTCAAGTGATCCTCTGACCTCAGCCTCTGTAGCTGGGACTGCAGGTGTGCACTACCATGCCCAACTATTTTTTTTTTAAATTTTGGGTTGCTTCGAACTTTATTTGAGAACAACAGAAGATAAACCTATCAAAAGAACACACAGGTGGGTGCGGGGGCACGGCTAGTGGCGGCGGCCGGGGTGGGCATCCGGGCTAAGGCTTTTACTTGGCTGCAGACTGGTCGGATTTCGCAGCTCCTAGGCCCCCAAGCTGGGCCCGTGACTCCAAGGTGATCTCGTTGGACTGCGTGGCTAGCTTGGGCATGGGGGCCTCCACGGTCAGTGTGCCCTCAGGGGACAGGGAGGAGGAGACCTTGGTGGGGTCCACACCGGGGGGCAGCGTGTATTTCCGGGTGAAGCATCGGGAGATGTAGCCATGCTCGTCCTGCCGCTCCTCGTGCTTGCTGGTGATCTCCACCATGCCATCCTTGGTCTTGACCGTCAGCTCGTCGGAGGCGAAGTAGTTGATGTCCAGGGATACGCGCCAGCGGTCCGCTGTGGGCCGATTCTCCGAGACCCCGCCGCTGAGCTGCCGGCTGAGCGCGTAGCTGTAGGCGGGCGCGGCCACCGCGGGGCTCTCGACCGCGGCGGGGGCAGGGGACGCACGTAGCGGGGCCAGCAGCTGGTGCCCAACCACTGCGACCAGCCCGAAGGCCTGGTCAAAGAGGCGACTGTGCGGGTACCAGTCGCGGAAGGGGTCCCAGCTGGGGTCCCGCAGGAGCGAGAAGGGGACGCGGCGCTCGGTCATGCTGGCTGGCTCTGCTGGGGACGTCTGCTTGGACAAGTGTCAATTTTTTTTTTTTTTTTAAGAGATGGTGTATTGCTGTATTGCCCATGCCGGTCTCAAACTCCTGACCTCAAGCGATCCTCCCGCCTTGGCCTCCAAAACTGCTGGGATTGCAGGTGCGCGTCGGCTGTTCAAGAAATGGTTACATAGATTTCTTTTGCTTTATTTATTTATTTAGAGACGGAGTCTCGCTCTGTTGCCCAGGCTGGAGTGTAATGGCGCAATCTCAGCTCACTGCCACCTTCGCTTCCCCAGTTCAAGTGATTCTCCTGCCTAAGCCTCCCGAGTAGCTGGGACTACAGGCATGTGCCACCATGCCTGGCTAATTTTTCTCATTTTAGTAGAGAGGGGGTTTCACCATGTTGGCCAGGCTGGTCTCGAACTCCTGACCTCAGGTGATCCACCCGACTCGGCCTCCCAAAGTGCTGGGATTACAGGCGTGAGCCACTGCACCCAGCCGGTTACATAGATATTTGCTGTGTAATTATTCTTTGGAGTGTACAAATGTGTATCATATTAAAGCATTTATTGAATGCATGGACACTAGTAACTATAACTTACATAGTGCTTTCTTATCTTATGTGTCAGGCACATAGTACAACGTGCTTTATATAAATTAATTCTGTTTTAATCCTAAAAAGCAGGTACTGTCAATAGTCCCATTTTACAGATGAGGAGACTAAGACACAGGGAAGTAGTCGCTTTGTGTTAAAATTCTGCCCTTAATGTGTACACTTTTATAGCCTAGAAGATGAATGCCGCCTTAAACGAATGAGTCAGGAAGCCCCTTTCTGTCCGGCCCCTCCACTCCCCACCACACGGGTTGTTCCTTTTTCCCTTGGAAGAGCCCACTGGACTGCAGGTGGAAGAACTACAGTTCCCAGCAGCTATTGCAAGCTCAACCTCCGTGCACACTCACCCCAGGCCTCACATCCGGCATGCGCCGTGCTCGCTCACAGAACTACACTTTCCAACTCTCCCCACACGACCCGTGACACTCTGTGGACCGCGAGCACGGAGCAGGGTTTCTACAGCTGCTCCCCACTTTCTCGGACCCGGTCCTGGACCCAGCCCCCGACTCCGACACGGCTCCACCATGGAGGAGGCGGACCGAATCCTCATCCATTCGCTGCGCCAGGCCGGCACGTAAGGACAGAGCCCCCGCCCACCCCCGAAGCCCACATCCGGGACTCTAAAGCCCAGGACCCCGTTTCCCGGGAACCTTAAAACCCGGGATCCTGACATTCAGGGCTCCAACTCCAGGATCCTAAGACCCTCACCCCCTTACACACACACACACACACACACACACACACACACACACGCACACACACACCGCCCTCCCTGACACCGACATCAGAGGCCTCCCAAATCCTTTAACCATGATATTTGGTACACCCAAAGCTCTGGGACCCAGACACCTTGAGACGTTACAACCTTGAAACCTCAAGACCCGGAACCCTGTAATCTGGGGAATCTTAACATCAGTTCCCTGAGACCCTGTTATCTGGAGACCCTAAGACACCTGTGCCCTAAGAACCAGGGAGCGTAAAACCCCAGGACCCTGGCACTCGGGGACTCCAAAAAATCCCTGGACCAGATACTTGGGATCCTTCAAACTCCAGTTCCCCAAACACCTGGGGCTTAAAAAAACCCAGGATTCTTTTTTTTTTTTTTCCTTTTCCGAGATGGAGTCTCGCTCTGTCGCCTAGGCTGGAGTGCAGTGGGGTGATCTCAGCTCACTGCAGCCTCCGCCTCCCAGGTTCAAGTGATTCTCCTGCCTCAGCCTCCCAAGTAGCTGGTATTACAGCCGTGCGCCACCTTGCCCGGCTAATTTTTGTATTTTTAGCAGAGACAGGGTTTCACCATGTTGGTCAGGCTGGTCTCCAACTCCTGACCTCAAGTGATCTGCCCGCCTCCGCCTCCCAAAGTGCTGGGATTACAGGTGTGAGCCACCACGCCCAGCCAAAAAAACCCAGAATTCTAAAATCTGACATCAGCATTTGGTCACCCTGACGCACGAAGACTCCTCCGTTCAGAGGCCCTAAAAACCCAGGATGCCAACATCTAGGGAGTCTGATTTTTGTATTGCTTGAAACTAGGTGGTCTTGATATTCAGGGATCTTGATACCCAGGGACCCTGACATTTGGAACTTCTGAAAACAGCAGCCTCCTAAAATCTAGTCTTCTCAAAACTCTAGCAGCTCAATATGTATGCAAAGAACATACTATCTGGGAACCAAGAAACCCAGAGATTGTGCCACCTGGACCCTTTCACCTTCCCAGACTCCCAAATTTTGATATTTTTCTAAACTGAGTTCTCTTCCACCCACCATTCTCCTACTCCAAGATCTTAGGACTTGAGGATTTCCCTAGTTCCTGGTTTTCCAAATGGAAGTCACAGTCACCAACATCCAGGATCTGTCTGAACTGTAGGCATCCTCCCTGCCCCGACCCTGGTACTAGTGTTTCCAAAAGGCTGCAGGGCTCAGCCTGATCCCTGTTGCCTGACTATTCCTGCGATCAAGCTGGTCCCCTTCTTCAGGGCAGTTCCTCCAGATGTGCAGACCTTGCGCGCCTTCACCACTGAGCTGGTTGTAGAGGCTGTGGTCCGCTGCCTGCGTGTGATCAACCCTGCGGTGGGCTCTGGCCTCAGCCCTCTGCTGCCTCTTGCCATGTCTGCCCGGTTCCGCCTGGCCATGAGCCTGGCTCAGGCCTGCATGGTGAGTGGCCCTCCTCCTAATGCACACATCCTCTTTCTTCCTCTTTTACAAAGTAACCAAGTTCCTTTGCAACACTTGCCTTTCCTCTGCAACACTTGCCTTTCCTCTGCAACACTTGCCTTTCCTCTGTCATTTTTCCTGCGGCTTAGTTTTCATTAGTGGTTAAGGCTGCTGACTGTACTGCCAAACTGCCTGAGTAGTTTAGATCCTAGCCCCACCACTTGGTAACTGTGTGACCCTAACCCTTCTGGGCCCCAGTTTTCCTATTTGTGAAATGGAGATGATAAATGTAGTGCTTTTATGAGGAGCAAATGAGTTTATCCAGTTTGCACCTGGGCTGCTCCTGGCTTCTATGTTTTAAATTTAGCTGCAAAATACCACCCCCACCCCATAGTATCCATTTCCTAGTTCCAGAAAATACTCTGTCTGGGTCATATACTCCTAAACTAATCACTCTGTGCTCTGATTGGCCCAGTCTGGATGACATGGTCATTCCTTTTTTTTTTTTTTTTTTGAGATGGAGTCTCACTTTGTCGCCCAAGCTGGAGTGCAGTGGTGCGATCTTGGCTCACTGCAACCTCTGCCTCCCGGGTTCAAGCAATTCTCCTGCCTCAGCCTCCCGAGTAGCTGGGACTACAGGCGTGTGCCACCACACCCAACTAATTTTCATGTTTTTAGTAGAGACGGGGTTTCACCATGTTGGCCAGGATGGTTTTAATCTCTTGACCTCATGATCCACCTGCCTTGGCCTCCCAAAGTGCTGGGATTACAGGAGTGAGCCACCGTGCCCAGCCTTTTCTTTTCTTTTTTTCTTTTTTTTTTTTTTTTGATGTGAAGTCTCTCTCTGTCACCCAAGCTGGAATGCAGTGGCGTGATCTCAGCTCACGGCTCACTGCAACCTCTGTCTCCTGGGTTCAAGTGATTCTCCTGCCTCAGCCTCCCGAGTAGCTGGGACTACAGGCATGCACCACCATGCTCAGTTAATTTTTGTATTTTTAGTACAGACGGGGTTTCACTATGTTGGCTAGGCTGGTCTTGAACTCCTGACCTCGTGATCTGCCCACCTCGGCCTCCCAAAGTGCTGAGATTACAGGCGTGAGCCACTGCGCCCGGCCGACACGGTCATTCCTATAGGACACTGTGATTAGCCACTCCTTCAGGATCCTGTGGAGTTGGGATAAGGATGATTACCCAAAGAAAGGCATGCTGGTTACCCAAAAGAGTGTCTGCTATATTACCTCTGTGGGAACCACATATCCTGCCTCTGCTAAGAGCAATTCCAACAATGTCTCTGTGACAGAATAAATAAAGTGCTTTTCTTTTAAAAAATATTTTAATTTTTTTAGAGGTAAGTGTCTTGCTATATTGCCCAGGCTGGTCTTGAACTCCTGGCCTCAAGAGATTCTCCTGCCTCTGCCTCACTAGTAGCTAGGACTATAGGCACATGCCACCCTGCCCGAGAATTTTTAAATTTTTCGTAGAGACGGGGTCTCGCTTTTGTAGAGATGTTGCCCAGGCTGGTCTTAAGCTCCTGGCCTCAAGCAATCTTCCTGCCTTGGCCTCCTGAGTAGTTGGGACTACAGGCGTGCACCACTGTGCCTGGTAAAGAGCCATTCTGATGAAACACTCACCCATTCCCAGTATAGAGCTGAGTCCAGGAGTCCAGTTCCTGTATTCAAGAGCTGCAAGTAATGCCACTCCCCCTGGCTCACTCACTCTGTGACTTTGGGCCAGTCTTTTTTTTTTTTGAAGCCCAGGCTGGAGTGCAGTGGCACAATCTCGGCTTACTGCAACCTCCTCCGCCTCCTGGGTTCCAGCAATTCTCCTGCCTCAGCCTGCCGAGTGGCTGGGATTACAGGTGTCTGCCACTGTGCCCGGCTAATTTTTTTGTATTTTTAGTGGAGACAGGGTTTCACCATCTTGGCCAGGCTGGTCTCGAACTCCTGACCTTGTGATCCACCCACCTCAGCCTCCCAAAGTGTTGGGATTACAGGTGTGAGCCACCGCGTCTGGCTCTCTTAACCTTTTTGAGGCTAAGTTTCCACATGTGTAAAATGGGTATAAGAATTGTAGCTACTGTATAGGGTTGCTGTGAGGATTAAACATGAGTTAATGTGTGAAAAGCTGGTTATAATAAGCTTTGCATAAATGGGATTACTATTATTGGATAGGTCCGATCTGGAACCTGTGAATACATAGTGAATGGAAACACTTTGAACTGACCCAGGAAGTATATGGTGGTGGAGGGACGATAGAGTAACTACCGTGAAAACTTTCATTTAGATATAGGGGACTGGGTGGCTAGAGTTGTTAAATTTGGGCCTTGCTTATGCAGTCTCTGTCTCTTAGCAACAGGTCTCAGAGCTCCATCCATCCCTTCGCTCTCAGGTTCACCCAGCTCTCAGGAGTTGTCACATTGTTCTCTCTGGGGCTCTTGGTGGCCTTATGAGGCAGGCAGTCTGTCCCCTGGCCCAGGACTGTATGTATTCTTAAGGTTAGCACTTAATAGGGGGGAAGTTATGTCTTCTGTTTGCAGAGGAGAGTACACAGCAGGAGGTGTTGAGGTGGGGGCTCAGGCTTCCTGCAGTTCTCTGTTCTTCCCTCAGTGCTGTCTCTCTTGGATTTTGTTCACCTGCTTTTGCTTACATTGATTTTAGTGGGGGTTAGTGACTATGGCTTTTCCAGTGGCCAGGAGGTACATGTGGGCTGGGCACGTTGGCTCTTGCATGTAATCCCAGCACTTTGGGAGTCTGAGGTGGGAGGATCAGTTGAGCCCAGGAGCTCGAGATCAGCCTGGGCAACATAGTGAGACCCCCATCTCTACAAAAAATAAAAAAAAAATAGCTGGGCATGGTGGCACACGCCTGTGGTCCCAGCTATGTGGGAGGCTGAGGTAGGAGGATTGCTTGAGCCTGGGAGGTCCAGGCTGCAGTGGGCTGTGATTGCGCCACTGCACTCTAGCTTGGGAAACAGAGTGAAACCCCATCTCCAAAAAAAAAAAAAAAAAAAAGACTGGGGACGGTGGCTCCTGTAATTCCAGCACTTTGGGAGGTGGAGGCGGGCAGATCTCACCAGAGGTCAGGAGTTTGAGACCAGCCTGGCCAACCTGGCGAAACCCTGTCTCTACTAAAAATACAAAAATTAGCCTGGTGTGGTGGTGTGTGCCTGTAATCCCAGCTACTCAGGAGGCTGAGGCAGGAGAATCGCTTGAACCCAGGAGGCGGAGGTTCCAGTGAGTCGAGATTGCACCACTGCACTCCAGCCTGAGCGACAGAGCAAGACTCTTGTTTCCAAAAAAATAAAAAACAGGTACATATGGTTGTCTGGCCCCCAGCAGCCTTGGTTTATCAGCAGCAGGCAAAAGGAGTTCTCTTAATCCAGCTGTGTGCTGTCCCTGTAGCCCCCCCGCAACTCAGCACTGCCATGTTCTGGCATCTTTTCTTCATATGCCCTGCTCCTGGCAACAGTTTCTGCACCTTAGCCACCTCCATATTTTGGCACCTTCCCCACTCCTGGAATGAGTTTCTATATCAGTCACAGCTCTTTGATTGCATATTGTGGAAAAAATCCAAAGTAAAATACCTTAAAAGCCAGTGGTTATACTTATTTGACCTTGAGCCTCCAAAATAAATATATCTTGCATTGTGACCCAGTATACTCCTAAGTATAGAATAATGATGGCTTCTAAGTGTACTCTGTGCCAGGCCCTGTGGTAAGTAACATGGTGTTAACTCATTTAATTCTCAGGACAACCTTCTGCTATATGTACTGTTGGTATACCCTCTTTCAGATGAAGAAAGTGAAGCACAGAGGGATTAAGTGATCTGCCTGAGGTCGTATAGTTGGTAAGAGGCAAAGCTTGGGTTTGAATCCAGGAAGTCTGCTTTCAGAGTCTATGCAGTTCCAAAGCAGTGGCAACTCTGGAAGAAAAAGGCTTTCCTAGGCCGGGTGTGGTGATTCCCACCTGTAATCCCAGCACTTTGGGTGGCTGAGGTGGGCAGATTGCTTGAGCCCAGGAGTTTGAGACCAGCCTGGCCAACATGGTGTAGCCCTGTCTACACTGAAAATACAAAAATTAGCCGGGTGTGGTGGCATGCACCTGTAATCCCAGCTACTCGGGAGGCTGCGTGGGAGGATCACTTGAGCCCAGGAGGCAGAGGTTCCAGTGAGCCAAGATCACGCTACTGCACTCCAGCCTGAGCGACAGAGCGAGACCCTGTCTCAAAAAAAAAAAAAAAAAAAAAGGAAAAAGGCTTTCTTTCTCTCCTGGCCTGTTTCCTCAGTCCCCATCAGAACCCTCATGAGTCCTTTTGTTCTGAGCTATTGTGCTTCTGGTCTTTTTGTCCTGTTTATTTTTAGGCACTCTTTCTATAATAGGTAGATTTGCTCTTTACCTATGATATGGGCTCCAAATATTTTTTCCCAACTTGTCATTAACTTTTGACTTTGCTTATTCTATTTTCTTTAAATATTTTCTTTCTTTTCATGTATTCAAAAGTACCCATCTTTTCTTTTATGGCCTCTGGATTTTGAGTCATAGAAAGGCCAGAGCTTTAATCTTGTTTCTTGTTCTCTGTAGCGTTGACTATCATCACTCTGTGACTCCCCCCAGGGCCCAGAGGCCTTGGGGAGCTGGGGGAGGTTGGGAGGGTGGTGGTTAGTGAGAAAGTGGGAGCGTTTTCAGCCTAGGCCCAAGTCTCCCAGGGCAGGAGGACCCTGCCTGCTTCCTGATAGCCGCCCACCAACCCTCAGGACCTGGGCTATCCCTTGGAGCTTGGCTATCAGAACTTCCTCTACCCCAGTGAGCCTGACCTCCGAGACCTGCTTCTCTTCTTGGCTGAGCGTCTGCCCACCGATGCCTCTGAGGATGCAGACCAGCCTGCAGGTACTGGGTGTCTGGGGTGTGGGCGGGGGCGGTGAGGGGAGAGGAGGGCCTTCTAGGGGCTGTAGGGCTGAGAGAGGTAGAGGTGGTAAAAAGGTTGATGGGTAGGGGTGGCGGTATGTGCCTTCAGGAGAGCTAGGCAGGAGGATTAGGCATCAGAGAGGGGCTACAGGGCAGGGGGCAGGGGGCTGAGGTTGAGCTGACCCCGGTGGTGCGTTGGTGCGGGGAGGGGCCTCCCTGACTCAACCCCTGTGCCCTCCCTCTCTCTCACTTCGCTCTAACCACTTGGGCCTCCTGGGTGCTACTCAAACATACCCCAGTACACTCCCGCCTCTGCACCTTTGTATCGTTGGTTACCTTTCCCCTAGGTACCCTCATGGTTCACTCCCTTACCTCTTTGAGGTTAACCTCCTCTCCGCAGCCCTCTCCTGATCCCCACCTGGCTGCAGTCTGGATGGTATTCAGGATCCTATTCATGATCTCTCTCCTCTGCTAGCTTGCCGGCTCCCTGAGGGCAGGGACCTTTATCCAGTTTGTTCCACGAAGTAGCCCTAGTGTCTAGAACAGCGACCTGTACATAGTAGGTGCTCGGTGTTTGTTGAATGACTGAACGTGAGAACGCAAGCTGGATAGATGTGTATCTCTGGATGGGGGTCAGGAGTGGAGGCTGGTCTCCTAGGGTATGCCCTTTTGGATTTGCAGCATTGACATCTGATTCACTTCCTCCCTATCCCCCATAGGTGACTCAGCTATTCTCCTCCGGGCCATTGGGAGCCAAATTCGGGACCAGCTGGCACTGCCTTGGGTCCCGCCCCACCTTCGCACTCCCAAGCTGCAGCACCTCCAGGTGAGACCCCTGACTCCCATGGATCTTCTCTTGTCCCCGTCTGGGTGCCCAGGGTTTTGGCCCCCTACCCCTGGCAACCCTCATCCCACTTCACCCTGGAGATTCTGAGCCTGCTCTCCCACCAGGGCTCGGCCCTCCAGAAGCCTTTCCATGCCAGCAGGCTGGTCGTGCCAGAATTGAGTTCCAGAGGTGGTGAGCATGAGGCTGTGGGGAGGGGTGAGGAGGAAGGTGGGGGGGAACCTCATAGCGTTGCCATGCGGCAGGGCCAGCTGACTCTGTTCCTGCCTCCAGAGCCACGGGAGTTCCAGGCGAGTCCCCTGCTGCTTCCAGTCCCTACCCAGGTGCCTCAGCCTGTTGGAAGGGTGGCCTCGCTCCTCGAACACCATGCCCTGCAGCTCTGCCAGCAGACGGGCCGGGACCGGCCAGGGGATGAGGACTGGGTCCACCGGACATCCCGCCTCCCACCCCAGGTACAGCCAGATGCCTGGCTCCCTGCTGTCTGGGCTGCTGCTCACTGACACTCCCGCTGGTCCTCTGCTCTCCTTCCCCACTTTGTCCCTCCCTTCCATTGTTTCCCCTCTGTGTGTGCTTACCTAGCTCCCCACCTGAAAGAACACTGGAGTCAGAAAAAAGGAGAACCTGGGACAAGTCAGTATCCCTCCTCAGAGCCTTGGTTTCCTGTGCTAAAATTTGGGGTAGTAATAGTGCTCTCCTCTCAGGGCAGTAGTTAGACTGAATAATGTGCTTGAGATTCCTGGCAACTGGAGCAATCCAGATTGGCTACCTGCCTTCATCATTCATTAATTCATTCATTCATTTGGAGTCTTGCTCTGTCACCCAGGCTGGAGTGCAGTGGCGTGATCTCAGCACACTGCAACCTCCATCTCCCGGGTTCAAGCGATTCTCCTGCCTCAGCCTCCCAAGTAGCTGGGATTACAGGCTTGCACCACCACACCTGGCTAATTTTTATATTTTTAGTAGAGACAGGGTTTTGCCATGTTGGCTAGGCTGGTCTCGAATTCCTGACCTCAGGTGATCTGCCCACCTTGGCCTCCCAAAGTGTTGGGATTACAGGCATGAGCCACCGCACCCGGCCCTAATCTTTCTCTGTTTCTGCACTTGTCACTGATGTTCATTTTTCTGGTTTCTAGGTTTTTGCACAATTTCTGCCTGTCCCCATTATTCTAGTTCTGTGTTTTTGCTGCTCCTCTTTCTTACCTCTCTGTCTCCTCATTTCTGTACTGAATTCCTCTCTTGCTCTGTCTATCTATCTGTTCCCCCTTCTCCTCTGTCTACTTCTTTATCTGTCCCCTCTTCTTCTCTGTGCACCTTTTTATCTGTGTCCCCTTCTGCTCTGTCCACCTCTGTATCTCTCCCCTTCCTTGCTGTCCACCTATATATCTGTCACCCCTCTGCCTCTGTTTACTTCTTAATCTCTCTCCTCTTCCTCTCTGTCCACCTCTGTATCTGTTGCCCCTTCCCTCTGTCCCCTTATCTCTCCCTTCTTCCTCTCTGTCCACCTCTGTATTTGTCCCTCCTCCCCTTCTGTCCATCTCTTTATCTGTCCTCTCTTCTTCTTTTTTTTTGAGACGGTGTCTCGCTCTGTCACCCAGGCTGGACTACAATGGCATGATCAGGGCTCAAGGCAGCCTCAAATTCCCGGGCTCAAGCAATCTTCCCACCTCAGGCATCTGAGTAGCTGGGTCTACAGGTGCGTGCGCCCGGCTAATTTTTGTATTTTTTGTAGAGATGGGGTTTTGCCATGTTGACCAGGCTGGTCTCGAACTCCTGACCTGAAGCAATCCACCCACCTTGGCCTTCCAAAGTGCTGGGATTACAGGCATGAGCCACCATGCCGAGCCCCCTCTTCTTCTCTGTCAACCTCTTTGTCCCCTCTTCTTCTCTATCCATCTCTGTATCTGTCCCCTCTTCCCCTCTGTCCACTTATCTGTCCCCTCTTCCTCTGTCCACCTCTGCATCTGTCCCCTCCTTCTCTCTGTCCACCTCTCTGTCACCCCTCTCCCTCTGTCCATTTCTTTATCTGTCCCCTTTTCCTCTCTGTCCACTTCTCTTTTTCCCTCCCTCCATTCTGCTCTCCTATTTCTGTTCCCTCTTCCTCTGTGTTCACCCAGGTATCAGTACCCCTCCCCTTCTGTCCACCTTTATATCTGTCCCCTCTTCCTCTCTGTCCACCTCTGTATTTGGCCCCCCTCCCCTTCTGTCTGCCTCTTTATCTGTCTCCTCTTCCTCTGTGTCCACATCTCTGTCTGCCCCTCTTTTTCTCCACCTCTGTGTCGGCCCCCTCCTGGTCTGTCCACTTTTTTATCTGTCCTCTCTTTCTGTCTTCACCTCTGTGTCTTTTTACATTTTTATTTTTTTATCATTATTATTATTTTTTGAGATGGAGTCTCGCTCTGTCACCCAGGCTGGAGTACAGTGGTACGATCTCAGCTCACTGCAACCTCTGCCTCCTGGGTTCAAGTGATTCTCCTGCCTCAGCCTCCCACATAGCTAGGACTACAGGCATGCACCACCACGCCCAGCTAATTTTTGTATTTTTAGTAGAGACAGGGTTTCACCATGTTGGCCAGGATGGTCTCGATCTCTTGACCTCATGATCCATCTGCCTCGGCCTCCCAAAGTGTTGTGATTACAGGCGTGAGCCACCACGCCTGGCTGTCTGTCTTTGTTTTTATATCTGTAGTAATTTTCAAACATAAATGTAGAGAGAATATTCTAGTGAATCCTATGTACCATTTTGCCAACTTTTCTTCATCTTTTCTCTCCCAACTTTTTCTTTGTTGCTGTATTATTTTAAAGCAAATCTCAGACATCATGTCATTTCAGCTCTAAATACTTAGGACTACATCTCTTAACTCATAAGGACATTCAGTTTTCAAGGTAACCACTGGACCATTTTCATGGCTAATGAAGTTAACAATAATATCTTGTGGGTTTTTTTTTGTTTTGTTTTGTTTTGTTTTTTTTTTGTTTTTTTTTGTTTTGTTTTTGAGACGGAGTCTCTCTCTGTTGCCCAGGCTGGAGTGCAATGGCGTGATGTCGCTTCACTGCAACCTCCACTTCCTGGGTTCAAGCCATTCTCCTGCCTCAGCCCCCAAGTAGCTGGAATTACAGGAGCACACTAAGTTTTGTATTTTTAGTAGAGTCGGGGTTTTACCATGTTGGCCAGGCTGGTCTTGATCTCCTGACCTCAGGTGATCTACCTACCTTGGCCTTTCAAAGGGCTAGGATTATAGGCATGAGCCACTGTACCCGGCCAACAATGATATCTTAATACCATCCAATACTTGAGTTCATAATCAGATTTTCCCATTATCTTGAAACTCTGTTGTCCCTCTCTTGCCTCTCTCTCTCTGCCTCTTTCTGTGCTTGGTACCTTTGATTCCCTGTCTCTGCCCTGTCCCCCGATATCCTGTCTATGCTTCTCTTGGATTTGGGGGCTCTAGGCCCACCCCCCTCTCTTCCCACATCCTTCTCCAGCATGGGGATCTAGTGGGTGGAGAGAAGTATGTCTGTGAGCAAGAGGAGACCCCTGTCCTCGAGGAGATCCCAGGCTGGTGGAGCAGGAGAGTAGAGCAGGGCCTGCCTTAGTGGGAAGGCTGGAGGGTGGGGGTGACTTGTCAGTATACTCTTGTCAGGGGGTCCTTGGAGGAGGCAGGGCCTTGGGTGCTAGGTGGGCCCCTACACCTTCCTGCTTCCCCCGCCTTTTCTCCCCAGGAGGACACACGGGCTCAGCGGCAGCGGCTGCAAAAGCAACTGACTGAGCATCTGCGCCAAAGCTGGGGCCTGCTTGGGGCCCCCATACAAGCCCGGGACCTGGGAGAACTGCTGCAGGCCTGGGGTGCTGGGGCCAAGACTGGTGCTCCTAAGGGCTCCCGCTTCACGCACTCAGAGAAGTTCACCTTCCATCTGGTGGGTGCGCCTGAGGACATGAGATGTGTGGATGGGCGTGGCAGGCTTGGAGGGTGGCTTTTTGTGTCAGCACCACACCTTTATCCACACAGGTTCCTGTGTTCCCACTGGACAGGCCCTCGCCCCACTGTGGGATGGGTACCCAGAGGGGTCCCCTAGCTTATTAGGGACTTGACTGGAGAAAATGTGGATAGGTGGGAACCATGCAAAGGTGTGGGGGTGTTCTTGGGGCAACACCCCCTTTCCTCAGGCAGTTTCCTTTGAGCATATCTTCTGTCCTAAGATGTTCACTCTGAGGGCCCCCCATCCTTCTCATGGGCATTTGAGGCTTGAGAGATGGGGCAGGTGGGTAGGAGCTGTGACAGGGTCAGGGAGATTTCTCCACGAGCAAGCACTCTGGCCCGAGGTTGCAGATGGTGCCTTTACCCACATAGTCACAGTCTGGCCACCATCGGTGCTTCAGTGGGCATGCATGCCGCACTGGGGGCAGTTCTCAGGGGAGGCTGAGGCTGGGCCACGTGAGGAAGGGCCTTCCCTGGCAGCCAGGATGCCCCTCGTCACTCCCCTTAGGAGCCCCAGGCCCAGGCCACTCAGGTGTCAGATGTGCCAGCCACCTCCCGGCGGCCTGAACAGGTGAGCAGAGTGGTTTGGAGGGGGGTGTCCCAGGCCCTTGCTTGTCTACTGGGCCTGACACCCCAACCCTGACTGGCCTGGGCCTCCCAGGTCACGTGGGCAGCTCAGGAACAGGAGCTCGAGTCCCTTCGGGAGCAGCTGGAAGGAGTGAACCGCAGCATTGAGGAGGTTGAGGCCGACATGAAGACCCTGGGCGTCAGCTTTGTGCAGGTAAGGGGCGGAGGAGGGGCTGCGCGTTGGGCTAGGTCAGAAGGAGGGCCTCGGGGTGTGAGGGACTAGATGGGGCAAGAGGTGCTCTGTAGAGGTCTGCACATGGCAGAAGGGTTCCTGGGAGCCATTAGGGATCTGTGGGCCTCTTGAGGGTGGCTATGAGAATCAGGCCAGGGTGAGGGTCTGTGGGCATCTATGGGGCACCGCGGGTCTGCATGGGCAGGGGATTGAGGGGTCCTCGGAGGGTCTGTGGGCATCTGTGGGGTACCCACGGGTCTGCATGGACAGGGGATTAGGGGGTCCTCGGGGTCCTTGGCACCAGCGTGGAGCTGTTAGAGAGGCCTGTGGGGGCCACAGGGGTGTACAGTCATCTGTGGAGCTCCATGGGGGCTGTGGCATGTGACTGGGTATCCACCGGCCAGGCAGAGTCTGAGTGCCGGCACAGCAAGCTCAGTACAGCAGAGCGTGAGCAGGCCCTGCGCCTGAAGAGCCGCGCGGTGGAGCTGCTGCCCGATGGGACTGCCAACCTTGCCAAGCTGCAGGTGGGGTTGGGGCTGTAGCTGGGCGGAGAGGGGCAGGGTGGGGTGGGGTGGGGTTGGAGGGCCCAGCCTGTGTGACATGTACCCATCCCCCACCAGCTTGTGGTGGAGAATAGTGCCCAGCGGGTCATCCACTTGGCGGGTCAGTGGGAGAAGCACCGGGTCCCACTCCTCGCTGAGTACCGCCACCTCCGAAAGCTGCAGGATTGCAGAGAGGTAAGCAGTGGGGCCCTGGGCTGTGGGCGGGCCAGGGCAGGCTCGGTCCCTCTCTAGGGGGCCATCCCTATGCTCTGCTCACTGTCTTCTGCCTGTGGGCTCATGGCAGCTGGAATCTTCTCGACGGCTGGCAGAGATCCAAGAACTGCACCAGAGTGTCCGGGCGGCTGCTGAAGAGGCCCGCAGGAAGGAGGAGGTCTATAAGCAGCTGGTAAGGCCTGTGTGAGGGACCTGGGTAGCTTAGGAGGGTGGGGGGATGGTCCTGGGGCAGTGCCTGCTATATCCCTGCCTAGATGTCAGAGCTGGAGACTCTGCCCAGAGATGTGTCCCGGCTGGCCTACACCCAGCGCATCCTGGAGATCGTGGGCAACATCCGGAAGCAGAAGGAAGAGATCACCAAGGTACACTGCCAGGGCCATGGAGGGTGGGTCATGTGGGCTGTCAGGCATAGTGTGGCCGCACAGGGACCTCACACCCTCAGGCAGAGCTGTCCAGTCACACTCTAACACAGAATAGTCACACACAATCCATCCCAGTCACCCCTGACACAGTGACACAGTCCCTGTCTGGTACACATGAGGACCCTCCACTGCTAGCCAGCCTGCCCCAGGCAGGGGCTCATGGCTGCCATGGTGTCTGCCAGATCTTGTCTGATACGAAGGAGCTTCAGAAGGAAATCAACTCCCTATCTGGGAAGCTGGACCGGACGTTTGCGGTGACTGATGAGCTTGTGTTCAAGGTGTGGGGCAGGTTGGGCGGGGGTGAGTGGGGTGAGGCTGGGCTGCTGCCTTGTGCATCTGCTAATTGGCTGGCTGGGGTCCAGACCCAGGCCCTGTGCGAGGCTGGAGGTGCACTGATACCCAGGGCTGGCTTTGTTTCATGGAGGATGAAGCTAGTGGGGTGGTGGGAGAGGGTGGCCTTCTTAGGGCATGGAGATGGTCAAGGGCAGCCCACTGATACCTTTGAGGTCCCTGTGTCTGGTCAGGATGCCAAGAAGGACGATGCTGTTCGGAAGGCCTATAAGTATCTAGCTGCTCTGCACGAGGTGAGGGGAGACATGTGCCTGGGGTGGGGCTGCTGGGGGTGGGTGGGACTGGGTGCAAGCCTTCTGCTCCTGTTGTCCCCAGAACTGCAGCCAGCTCATCCAGACCATCGAGGACACAGGCACCATCATGCGGGAGGTTCGAGACCTCGAGGAGCAGGTGAGGCCTGGGGGCAGGATGGGGAGCCAAGGCGGGCCGGGGGGACAGTTCCTCAGGTTATGCTGACAGAGGCTGTGGAGCCACACACAGCCGATGGCTGGACACCCAGCCCTGCCCCTTAGTGCCTGTGACCTGGGACAGGCAAGTGGCCTACTGTGAGCCCCAGCTTCCACCCCAAGGGCCCTCCTGTCTGCCTCCCAGGGCCATGGGCAGAGGCTTCAGCTTAAAGATGTAGGGGGAATCCTGCCACATGGCGAAGGATGCTTTGGGTAGAGGGAACACCACACGAGGCCTGGCCATGGGACAGAGCAGGCTGTTGGAGTTGGTGGGAGGGGCCCAGAGTGGCTGTGATGGGGGCTGGTGAGCAGGAGCTGGGAAAGGGGCTGTGTGTGCTGAGGGGGCATGTGTTCACATTGCCTCAGATCGAGACAGAGCTGGGCAAGAAGACCCTCAGCAACCTGGAGAAGATCCGGGAGGACTACCGAGCCCTCCGCCAGGAGAACGCTGGCCTCCTAGGCCGGGTCCGGGAGGCCTGAGGAGCCGCCGGCAGAGGTCTCTCCCCAGCCTCAGGCAGGGATTTGGGGTGCTGGAGGCAGTGGCCAAGCACATGCCCTAGCTACTTCCTCCGCTGTCCAGTTCCTCCTGCTGCGGCCTTGGACCCAGACCCCTGCCCACTGACCGCAACCCTTATATGGGGTGATAGTCCAGCATGTGGGGAGCTCGGCTGCAGTTTATTGGGGACGGTACTGTGGGTTGGGGGCCTTGGATCCCAAATAAATGAGTAGTTCCTCTGCAGTCTAAGCTGAGGCATGGATCAGGGCTCAGGGAATGGGAGTGAGGTGAGTGGCAGGGGAGACACGGGGTATTTTTGGCAAGGCAGTGTGTGTGGCTGTGTGTGTCTGCACGGGACTCAAGAGACCCACTGGGGGGCTGTGCGTGTGCATATGCGTGAGATACACAGGTGAATTCTAACAGGCCGTGTGTGTGAGCGAGCACGTGTTGGGACCTCAGATCCTGAGGGTACTGACGCTGCTTCTGTGTAGGCCTCTGGGCACACCCCTGTGTTGACAGTGCCCCTGTGGGCCCTGAGGCTGGCTGTGGGTGCGTGCCTTGGGGTGTGTGGGTTGTCAGGGCTGTGCTTGTGTGTGATTGTGTGATGATGCAGCTTTGAGGTTGTTTGAGTGTACTGAGGCAGGCTCTCTGTGTTTTGGGGTTTGTGTTGAGTGAGGGACAGGATTGTGACATTTTGTGTGTCTGTGTGACTTTTCCAGCCCTGAAGTAATCTGTGCGAGCAGCTGAGGCAGGCTCTGTGTGGCTGGTTGTGAAGGCTCTGTTTGGCTGCAGGGCTCGACTGGGGGGTGTGTCTGGGGCGGAGGTGGGGGCTGGGGCCAGGACCGGGGCCCCTCTGAGCAGCCTTGGGGCAAAGGATATGATGGGGGAGGGGGTGGCTGCCAGCGGGGGAACAGGGGCCCTGGCAGGCAAGACAGTGGAAACCTCACTTCTTGGTCCCTGTGGGCACATCCAGGGCCTATCATCCCTGCCCCCACCACCTCTGCCTCCCACCAGTTTGGCCCCTGTTCGTCCATCCTCCTTTCCTTGATCTTGAGGTCAGGGGCCAGGTGTAGGGTTGGAACACCTGCTGGGCCTCTGGCTCCGTTTCTTGCGGAACTCCAGCTCATCCACGGTCCACACAGCCCCCTTCTCGCTCTCCACCCGCACAAAGCACTTGTGCAGACTCAGGTTGTGGCGGATGGCGTTCTGTGGAAGGCCGGGGACAGGGAGCAGGTGGGCGTCAACCTCTGAGGCCAGCAGCCACCACCAACAACCCACATCCCGTTCCTCCCCAATGTGCCTATGAGCCCAGACCCAGGCCTGCCCACTTTGAGCTGCGATGGCACTTGAGGCCATCCCAGTCACCGCCACCTCAGAGGAGCTCACCTTCCAGGTGGCAGGATGGTTTCTGAAGAAGGCAAACATGCGTGTGAACCAGTGGTAGATCTCATTGAGTGTCCGCTGCTTCTCTGGAGCCTCCAGGATGGCCTGGAAGTTGGGGGGTGGGGTAAGGGGCACATTCCCCAAACTTGGGGTTTAGAGGGGCTATGACCTACCCCGAGCCATCTGACATGGGGGCGGAATTGTAGGGGCAGGTAATCAGGGACAGGACTAGATGTGGGGTGAAGCATGGGGTCAAAGATGGGGTTAGAAAAGGGGTGAAGTGTCGGGTTGGGCAGGGTTAGATGGGTGTGGGTATGGTTGTTCTGGGATTAGGTAAGGGATCAGGACTGAGGTTGGGAGTGGGGTCTTGTTCAGGGCTAGGGCTGAAGTGAGGTGAAAGGTCTGGGATGGAGTTGGAGTTGGGGTTCTCTGTGGAGGTGACATTTCAGGGTTGGGGAAGGTGAAGGGTCAGAAGTGGGGTCAAGGATTTGGAAGGGGTAAAGGGCCAGGCCAACTTAAGGGTCAGGGAAGGGGTGGGTTAAGAGTCAGGCTGGGGTGGACTCAGGTGGGGGGTCTAGGGGTGAGGGATGGGATGACTTGGCTTTAGGTCAGAAGCCAGAGATGGTTTGAATTATCGAGTATCTTACGTGTCAGGGACATGGTTAGGTGGTTAGGCTCAGGGCAAGGATGAGGTTAGTTGTGGGGTTCGGTGTGGAGTGAGGCTGAGGGTCAGGGAATTTGATCAGTTTGGATTCAGGAATGGGATTACAGAGTCAGCGATGATGATTGCAGTGAGGCTATCAGTCAGGATGGGGCTAGGTCAGGGTTTCAGTTCAGAGACAGTCGGGGAATATCTGGTATCATGTAGGGGTGAGGTTCAGGTTTGGGGTTAGGTGTGGCGCTAGGATGAAGGTTCTGAGAAGGCATTGGGGAGGCTGAGATGAAGGAGTTGGGATGGGGTGATGAAGTTAAGGATCAAATGGGTGTTACAAGGAAAGGTTGGGAATGGTGCCCAGTTGGGGGTGTATTGACATACTGGGGTACGTTGGGGCCAGGGAAGGAGATGGGGTTGGGTTGGCATAAAGGCTGGGGAAGGAGTTAGAGTAAGAGCTGGGGTACGTTTAGGGCAAGGTGCAGAGATGGGGTTAGCTTTAGGCTATTTTATGGGTCCAGGAGAGGGTTAGGTATGGGGCTGAGGTGGACATCTGGAAAGGGGTAGGTTTAGGGTCAGAATTTGGCATGCTCTGGCCTGGATGGTGGTTTAGGTTTGGATTTGCGGACAGGTTTGGGGTGAAGCCAGCATGAGGGGTCACATTTGAGGCACGGCTTGGGGATCCTTGGGGCTGGGGCTTGGGAATGGAGGAACCCACTCTGAGGGCACTCAGAGGGAGACAGGAGTTTGGGAGGCAGGTCCCCCACCCCATCTTTGTCTTCCTCCTCCTTGGGGCCGAGCTGCCCTGCTTACCCAGCGGATGAGCGTGGCGTAGGTGAAAGGGGGTCGCATGTTGTGGAACTTGAAGTAGTCCATGTTGTGGAGGAACTCTGTCAGAGGGTGGGGATGAATCAAGCCCCATGCAGGACCTCCTAGCTAGCTCCCTGTCCCCTCCCCCTACAAGGTGAGTCTACAGGCCTGAGATCTCACCGTCAACACCCGTGTCCACGGGCACAGGTACTGTTTGCTGAGCACCTGACATAAGTTGTATCATTTATTCTTTGCACCACTTCTGCCAAAATAGTTCTCCCCGAGGTTGAAAAGAAGCGGAGTAACTTGCACACCAAAGGATGCAAGAGGTTAAATGGCAGAGCCAGGATGACAGTCAAGGTCTCTGATCCCTGCTAAGCCCACAGGCCAGGCCTGGTGGAGAGCAGTGGATAGGTGAGCTCGGGCGAATCCACCCCGATTTTCCTTGGTCAGGGGAGGAAAGGAGGTGCTCCTGGAATTACTTAGCAGGGTCCCTCCCTTCTGATGGCCGAATATAGTAGCTGGAGTCCAGAGTGGGTGAGGCATGGCCCCAATCCCCAAGGGAGTCAGGGCTAGGGGCCCGACACTCGAGACCATATGGGGGGCTTTCAGGCCACGGACATCCCGAAAGGAAGCTTTTGTGAGCGGATGCATTTTCCCAAAGGCTGAGTGGCGGCAGCTGCAGTGGTGGTGGTGGTGGGAAGGGGCAGCATGGAGCTCCTTTGCACCCTCCACCCAGAGCCTGTCAGGATTAGGAGCTTGGGGGCACCGTGTAGTGCAAGGACCATTCTTACCTGGGAATGTGCTGTTTCCATGGCTACCCCACAGGTGCCTCCGGACAGCAAACAGGCTGTCAGGGGCCTCCCGGGGGCCAGACCAGGCTGGGACGACAGGGCCTTGGCTGCCAGCAGCTACGATGCAGCAGGAGCCCTTGTCGGATGATGCCTGGGTGAGGGGGAGAGGCTGGTGACCCAGAGGCTTAAACTTCCCACTTTTTACTTTCTATTTTATGTTTTTTATTTTTTTTGATACTGAGTCTTGCTCTGTCGCCCAGGCTGGAGTGCAGTGGTGCAATCTCGGCTCACTGCAACCCCCACCTCCCAGATTCAAGCAAGTCTTCTGCCTCAGCCTCCCGAGTAGCTGGGACTACAGGTGCCCGTCACTACGCCCAGCTAATTTTTGTATTTTTGGTAGAGATGGGGTTTCACCATGTTAGCCAGGCTGGTCTCGAACTCCTGACCTCATGTGATCCACCCGCTTCAGCCTCCCAAAGTGCTGGGATTACAGGCATGAGCCACTGCGCCTGGCTCCACTTTATTTTTAAATCAGTGTTTTTCAAAGCAAGGACGCCCTCTTCTAAATTCCAGTCTGAGGTGGAATCCCACAAAACAGCATGAGCCGTATTTATTAGAGCACAGGTGCGGATGTCGTATGTGGCCACTGATGCTGGGACCATGAACTGGGGTTGAATAGGGCTCTTTACCACCCAACTGTGACCTTGGGAAAGTCACCTAAACCCCCCTGGCCTCAATATTCCTCATCTGTACATTCGCATCATGAGAAATAAATTACCACCAGCAAAGCGCTCAGAAACAGTGCCTGGCCTCCAGGGCTGGCTTCATGGGCGTGTGACCTATGTGGTTATGTGGCACCCTGTGCTTTGTTTAATGCTCTGTGGTCGCCATCTTGAAATCTGAACAAGGGGCCCTGCAGGTTACATAGCTGGTCCTGCTGGCACACAGCCTGCATCTGGCAAGTCTGGCTATTTGCATTTGCTTTAACAACTCAGGATCACAGTGTTTGGGGATCTTAGAGTCAGAGGGTTTTTTTTTTTTTTTTTTCTTGAGACGGAGTCTTGATCTGTCGCCTAGGCTGGAGTGCAGTGGTATGATCTCAGCTCACTGCAAACTCCGCCTCCCAGGTTCAAGCAATTCTCTGCCTCAGCCTCCCAAGTAGTTGGGACTACAGACACCTGCCACCACGCCTGGCTAATTTTTTGTACTTTTAGTAGACACAGGGTTTCACCATCTTGGCGAGGCTGGTCTTGAACTCCTGACCTCGTGATCCACCCGCCTCGGCCTCCCAAAGTGCTGGGATTACAGGCGTGAGCCACCACGCCCAGCCGGGGTCAGAGGGTTTGTAAGTAGAAGGGGACAGATTTCCAGGTCTGGGCATGTTTGGAGCTGGGGACAGGGGCCCCTAGCTCTCAGGACCTGAATGTGAGGTTAGGTTCCCTGCACCGTGCAGACCTCCTCCCTGCCCCCCAGCAGTCTGAGTCTGCCACCACCAGTCCTGGGGTCGCTCACCACAGATGAAGCCTTGGTCAGTGCCATTTTCCCAGCCAGGTGGGCCTGCATGGCACTCAGCTTCTCCTTCTCCAGCACCAGCTGTGAAATGGCACAAACATGAGGCCTCAGCCTGGCCCTTCTCTGCCACATCTTTGCCCAGGCTACGGTCTTCCCTGGGAGTGCCCGCTCCTCTTCCTTCCTTTATACCAGCCCTCGTCCCAGGTGAACTTGGTTTCTGGCACATGGTGGACAGAAGGTTTTGCGCACTATCCCTATCCCTTACCCTCCACCGCCCTGGCATTACCTGCTGCTCCAGAGACTGTACCATCTCTCTCTGGAGGAGACATTGTGCCCTGCCCTTCTCATCCAGAAGATGGTCCGCCTGGCAGTGCCTAAGTAGGGAGAAGATTCCATGCAGGTGACCACGACAGGCCTGGTCTGGCTCAATGCTCTGAATGGGGAGGGCCCAGACCCTCTGGGAGTTCTCTCCTCTGAGCCCCAGCTCCCCTCCCCTCTCTACCTCAGTCTCCCTCTCACACCCCTCGTTCCCTTAACACATGCCCCTCAGCACCTACTGCATGTCAGGCCTGAACTCACCACTTGAGCCTGGCCAGAGTGCTGGAGATAATGTTGGAAGTGTGGTGAGTTGAGAATGGGCCAGGGAGGTGAGAGTGGGCAAAGCATTCTGGGTGGAGGGACGGCCTGTGCAAAGGCCTGGCTGCAAGGAGGACAGGACATGTGGGGTTGCTGCTAAGGGTTGTGTGTAGTGTGGTGTGTATTTGTGTGTGTGTGTGTGTGAGAGAGAGAGAAAGAGAGAGAGAGAGAGAGAGAGAGAGAGAGAGAGAGAGAGAGAGAGAGAGAGAGACATATGGGGGGACTGAGGGGAGGCAGCAGCAGCCATCTAGAGGAGCTAGAACTTTGGGAACAGTGGAATAAGGCTGGCATGTTGGCATGAGGAGTAGCAGGGCAAAGCAGGAGTGCAGATTCTAGAGCCTGGCTACATGGGTTCAAATCCCAGCTCTGTCACTCAGGAACTGGGAGATTTTGATCAAGACACTTAACCTCTTTGGCCTCAGTCTCCTTGTCTGTAAAATGGGGGTAAATAACAGCACAAACGTTTCTTATTATACATACGAGAAAACTGAGGTCGAGAGAAGCTAAGTAATTTGTCCAAGGTCACACAGCCAGTCAGGGATGGAGCTGGGATTTGAACCCACAGTCTCAGAGTTTAGCTCTTGCATCTTACTACTTATTGGGATGAAGCCTGAGCTGAGATCTGCACCCTAGACCTCTCCCCACAAGCCAGGGCCGGTAGACTGGCACAGGCCTGGGCCACTCACTTGAGGAAGTCCTCTGGCTCTTCGAAGACCTTCTCACATCCGGGCCACTTGCAGACACCATTTGCCAGCAGTGGGTAGGAGCTCTGGGGCACAGCCGAAAGGGTGCTGGGGGGACAGAGGGTGTCAGGGGAGGGGATAGGAGGGCGAGGATCCTTCCCAGCCCTGTCCACTGACCTGTCCTTCCTGGGTGCACTGGGATTTGGGAAGGTGCAGAGCAGTGCCGGCTCCCTGGACACCCATTCCAGGCTGGCCACGTTGATCCCTGTGGGTGGGGACAGGGCACCTATGGAGGCTGTGGGCTGGGCTCTGGAGCTTGGCCCACAAGGCCTCTCATTTTGAGCTTCCCACCCTCCTGAGCCTCGAAAACCCTGACTCCCAGGGGGCTCTGCTGTCCCCAAAGTCCCAGGCTTCTGGCAGAGAAGCTTAAAGACGGCCATTCGCAGGTGCTGACATTTTGACTAGCTTTGTAAAGCTCTGTGGTTTTGTGATTTTGACATTCTGCATCTTTAAGGTTCTGCACCTGACGTTTTTTGGAGGGTGGAGTTTCCAAGCCTCTGAGACCTGACACCTTTGACCCCCAGAGTACTGCAATTCAGAATAGCCTACACTGCTCACAGCCAAGGATCTGGGGACTTGGGGGTTCTGTGAAGCCATGGGGTACGGGCTGAGGTGTTACCAGGTGGGAGGCCAGGCCGGGCCTTGAGGGAGAAGACCCCAGTGGCGGTGGTGGGTGGTGTGAGGCTGATCATGGCTGGGCTCTCCAGGGGGTGCACCTGCAGCACAGGGGTCCGGGCGTGGGCATCCACCGTTGAGAGCTGGGGGGCACATGTGGGCTGTGGTTCAGCCTGACTCGGGGCCCCTCCCCACAGTTCTCCCACCTGCTCCCTCCTCCCTGCCCATTCACCGTCCATACCTGGTGCATGAAATGTGGCCTGTCCTGGAGGAGTGCCTGTAAGTGGGGCAAGGGGCCCAGCCGTGCCCCGGAGGGTGCCACCATGACTAGGGGCAGTGTGGGCAGCTGGGCAGAAAGGCAGGTGGGTGAGAGGCCATCCTGATCCTCACTGTTCTGTGTCTAATTCAAATACTCTGCACTGCAAGCCCACATGGTAGATGCTATGATCATCCCCCTTTTACACGTATGGAAACTGAGGCTCATGGAGATCGAGTAACTTTTTAAAGATCAAACAGCTAATAAGTTGCAGAGCTGGCCTCAGCCCTGTCACCTCACCTACTTGGCCCCAGTCCTCTTCTCTTGTCACATGGGGATGGGGACACATAGCTATGCTCATGGGACTACAATACGGCCTCCTCCTCTCCTGAGACAGGGATTGGGAGGTCGGGGAGAGCCTCCAATCTCTGAGGCCTGGCAGGTGGGGATTTTCTTGGCCCTGCAACATCTGCATAAGTCACAGACTTGCCTGGGACCCAGAAACCACTTCCTGTGCCCCAGCCAGCCCCCCTCCCGCCCAGTGCCACAGTAAAGGTCGGCACCTGTAGGTCCAGGTACCCCACCCTGCCTGCCCCATCCTGGGCCCAGGGCCTCACCTGCAGCTGCGATGGTGGCATGGGGTTCAAGGAAGAAGAGGAGGCATGGGCCCCGCCTCGAAGATCTCGGCCCTGGAAGGTTCCCCCTGGGCCCCGGGCCCCCAGCAGGTCTGAGGCTTTGGGTGCAGCCCTCCAGCTGGGCGAGGCTCCTGGGGATGGGCCAAGGGCCAAGGAAGGGGCCGAGGGCTTGCCAGGCCTGGGGTTGGGCATCGGGTCCTTGTCCAAGGGCAGGCTGCGTAGACAATAGGGGAAAGGAGTCACACGTGTGCTAGGGCGGTATGAGATACTCGACCACCTGAGCCACGTGGACACTCCTCTGGTCAAAGCAGGCATTGGCTGGGACATGTCCCGAGGGGCCCCATAGTTGCACCCCAGCTCTAGACACACACACACACACACACACACACACACACCAAGAACACAGGTACATGTACATACCCACACATGCCCCACGTGCAGAGGTCCAGCACCTGGCTTGCCTGCCCACGCTAGCACAGCCCTGGTGTGGATGTGTCCTCTATGAGGGCAATGGTTGTTTCCCCCTCCACTTGAGAGCTGTTTCAAGCCTCAGGCCTCTAGCCCTCCCTGCACCCTGCACAGGCTGTGTTTGCTCATCTTGCCGGAGCTGGTCTCGGACTTTCTCCTCGGAGTCCTATTTTGCCCCAGTGACTAGGCATGGACTCAAAAGATTCATCTGGCTGCTGTGAGTGGGGCTAGTGAGGAGGCTATTGTAACAGTCCTGGCAAGTGATGATGCTGGCACAGAATGGGCTGGTGGCAGTGGAGAAGGCGAGAAGTGGGTAGATTCTGAGACTTAATCTGAAGCTGGATCAGGAGCAGTGCTAGCAGCTTGGATGTAGTGGGCAAGAGGGAGAGTCAAAGTGACATGGGTTTTAGCTTGAGCAGCTGGAAGGACCGAGCTGACATTACCTGAGATGGGGGACATGGCGGGGAGTTGGATTGGGTGCAAAAGTGCAGGTGTAGATAGACATGAAGAGTCTGGCATTAAATATGTGAGTGGAGGAGCTGAGGGGGCAGCTGAATACGGGGGTCTGGATCTCAGGGCAAGGAGGCGAGTCCAGGAGTGTGATCATGCACGGATCCAGCATGGCAAGTGACAGAGAGGAGGAGAGATGGGGTCTCTTGAGCTGGGGCCTGTAGAAGCTTCTCTACCCAGCCCCCATCAGAGTTCACCCCAATTTCTGGCCCTCAAGCCTGGCTCATGCTACACCCCCTGCCTCAAATGCCCACTCCTTCTCCTCTTTCCCTGTCCAAGCCACGCAAGACCTGCTCTTCTATTGTCCTCACCTTGAAAGCCCTCCACAATGGCTCCGGGCCCCCTGCTGAGCCCCAGAACCTTCCACTCCCTGAGGGAAGCACTGGCTTTTCAGGATCCTATAATCCTGGTCTGAGAGGAAGCCAGAGCTGGAAGGGACTGCCCAGCCAACCCCATTATACAGAAGGGGATGCTCAGATGCCGAGTTCCGTAGTCCCATAGTGACTTGAGAACTCCACTTCTTTCTTTAGGAAGTGTTTCCGTGTGCACATTTTATAAACTCTCTGGTGTGTGTGTGTGTGTGTCTCCATCTCCCCGTTCCACCTCACAGCACTGAGTTGGGCACACAGCTGCTGAGAGCAGCCCGGGGGAGTATAGAAGGGTTCTGGGGGAGCAGTTGCTCCTTCCTTTCTTTGCTGTCACCTCCTGGGGGTGGTTGTCAGAGCTGTGGTGCTGAGGGAGATGAGTGTGAGAATCCAGGTATTAAGTTCTTAGTCTCCTGGGGGCTTAGAACATTACTGCGTGAGAAACAGGAGTGTGGGTCTGTGGAGGCTCCGAACAAGGGCCTGGGAGAGCACTGGTGAGATGAGAAGGTGAGTGAATGAATGAAGCCAGAGATGGGGTGATGCTCCTTCAAGCCAAGAAATAACAAAGATTGCCAGCAACCACCAGAAGCTGGGGGAGAGGCCTGGAGCAGCTTCTCCCTTATGGCCCCCAGAAGGAACCAACCCTGGCAACACCTTGATCTTGGACTCTGGCCTCCAGAACTGTGAGATGATCAATTTCTGTTGCTGAAGCCACTCAGTTGTGGTACTTTGTTATAGCAGCCAGAACAAACTAATACCGATTTCGGTGCAAATGGATGTTTTCCACCACTCTGGCCTGGCCCATGTGGCTGGCCTGTGGTCACTTCTGAAGCTGCCTGGACACTTGGCCAGAGCTAAGAATTCTCCCCAAACACATGTGGGATGGCCTGACTCAGCAAAGCATAGATACATTCTCAGACAGGGACATGGAGATGATCTGTCTGGGGGTAGAGGACCTAGAGGGCCGGGCTGGGCAGCCGGCTTCCTGCACTGTCTGTTGGGACGTCCCTTTCTGACTGGGTTTCTCAGAAGCTGAATGGGGGATGTTTCTGGGACACAGATTATGTTTTCATATCGGGGTCTGCATCTGGGCCCTGTTGTCACAGCCCCCGACTTGCCCAGATTTTTCCGCCATTGACGTCATGGCGGCCGGATGCGCCGGGCTTCATCGACACCACGGAGGAAGAGAAGAGGGCAGATACCCCACCCCACAGGTTTCGTTCCGAGAACTGGCTGCCCTGTCCTGCAGCAGGCTTGGCCCAGGTGGGGTGACATGGGTGCTGGTGGATGTGGTAGGTGATGTCCATCTGGCCACTATGACAAGCCCCTAGCTCTGAAGACCTGGCCCTTCTTGGGTTGTGGAGAGGACCCAGGTTTGAAGCTCTGAGAGTGCCAGGCAGGCTCCACAGATACTGGGACCCCTGGGGTCTTCAAATAGTATAACACCAGGACCTCAGAATCATAGAACAGCATTTCTTAGATTTAAAGGATCCTAGAATCTCAAAACCACAGACTGTGGGGTCTACGGTCCCAAAGTCTCAGTATGTGTAGGCCAGTGTCCCTGGTGTCCAAACTCCTTGGAACCATCTGAAAGTCAGGCAGCTTGCTGCTTCATAGGGCCTCTTGCCTACCAGGCCTGGAAACAGAGCCAGCCTCCCTAGGGCCTCAGTCTCCCTGTCCACTCTGGAACAACGTTCCCAAATACATGGCCACTCCGCCAGAGATGGCAACAGGGGGAGGAGGAGGTTGAGGCTGGTGTGCCTTTGGTCTGGGCCTCATGGGGGGAGCTGGAAAAGCCTCAGCCTTCGCCAATACAGAGCCCATCATCAGACTCTCTAGAGGGGCCCCACAATCAAGGTTTTCGGGGACCAGCACCAGCTCTGGGGACACACAGCCTGACTGACTGACATGCCTCCATCATCACCACGCTCTGGCCAACTAGGCCTCCTGACCTATGGAGTCCGGGGCCTCACCTAGCCCAGCTCTTGTGAGGCTGGGCCCCACACTGTGATCGTGGATCGTCCAACCTGTGGGAAGTTGGGGTCCAACGTGTGAGAAGGCAGAAGGGGGAATGGTAGCCCAGGTTCCCCTTCCCCCTTCTGGGTGCTGAGGGGTAAACTGAGGCCTGCAGTTGGGGAGAGAGCCAGAACCAGGGTCCCACCTAGAGTCCTGAGATCTAGGCTTGGATTTCAACTCTGCCGCTGCATTTCGGTGAGGCCCTGAGATCTCTGGTCTTCAATTTGCCCTTCTACACTGAGCACGGAGAGGCGTGGAGTAGACAAGGGCCAGGGCCCTTCTACGCTGTCTGGTTAAGTCATTAGGTGTCTGCAGGGCTTCAAGTTGACAATTGCCCCTCTATCCAGGGGACTGGCTGAGAGATAGGGATACATAGAGACAAAGAGACACACACAAAGAGCGAGCAAGAGAGAACAAGAGATAGTGAGAGACATTGAGAGAAATGGACACATGCATGGAGAGCCAGAGTGCATGTGTGCGAGAGGAGGATTGCCTCAAATAAGAACATTTGCTGGTCTCTGGCTGGTTCAACTGATGCTGCCTGAAATAATCAAGAATAAAGAAGGGCAAGGTGCCAGGGACACCCATGGCTGGGTATTGAATTGTATTGCAAAGCAACAATCAGCAAAACAGTGTGGCCCTGGTATAAGAACAGATACTGGGGAAGAGAACAGAATAGAAAGCTTGGACATGGACCCACATATGGAGAGAACTGAATTTGTGATGAATGTGGCATTTCAAACTGGAGGACCATGGAGTATGGTTTAACAAATGTGTCTGAGATAATTAGGGAGAAGATAAAGTTATTGAGTGAATAGTCAGTCCATTATCCCAACAACCCCTCCCTGCCCAGTTTGAAATGTCACCATCATCATATACCCTAAAATGCCCAGATCCATTCAAGATATAAGTTTTAACACCTAATGCTGATCTTGGGTTTATTGTGTGTCAGGCCTTGTGCTAAGTATTTACTGTGGTTAAAAATTTTAATCTAAACAAAGACTCCTGAGGAAGGTACTATTATAACCATTGCAGTACATATGAGGAAATGGAGGTATGGAGAGGTTAAGTGCCTGGCTAAAAATCACACATAGGGCTTGGGGTGACGCTGGGTTTGTCCCAGACAGTCTGGCTCCAGTACCCACACTCTTAACCTCTATAGTAAATGGAAAAAATGAAGCCATAAAAGAGACTAGAAGCCAACATAGGTGAACATTTATCTCATTTTCAAGTAGGAAAGGACTTTCTAAGCACAAAACCAGAGACAGAAGCCACAGAAAAAAAGACTAACCTATTTGACTGTATAAAACCATCATAAGCATCACAAAAAACACCATAAACAAATAGAAAAAAAGCAAATGATGAATTGGGGAAAATATTTGCTATATATGTAATGGCTGATGAAAGGTTAATAACCATTCCAAATAAAGAGCTGTGGCAAATCAATAAGGGAAAAATAAGATGAACACCCTATTAGGAGTAAGGACATGACCAGACAACCAAAAAAAAAAAAAAAAAAGCATGAATGGCCAATGAATAGTAAAAGTAATCACAAGATGCAAATTTCAACAATGTGATAATGTGTTTTTCTTACCTGTCATGTTGGGAAATAATTAAAACATAATAATACTCACCTAGGGTTAGCTTAAGTAGAGGGAGCATAAAATAGGACAACCTTTTGGAAGGAGAATTAGCAGAGAGGGTCATAAACTTTAAAAATGCACGCCCCCTTTGCCCCAGCAACTCCCTTTTCAGGAATCCAAGGAAGCAGTCAGGGATGTTTATAGAAAAAAACGAGAAACAACCGGAATGTCCAACAATCGGCACTTGGTCAAATCAATCAAAGTTCATGCTGATGTGAGGACAGTCTTGTCCATCATGAAAGATCATGTGTTCAAACAATTTTTAGTAAGCTTCAAAAACACTACTGTTAATTGAATAAAGCAGGAACAAAACCAATATATAGCATGATTCTAATTTGGTTACAGAAATACTAATAGCTAACACTTCGTGAGCACTTACTTTGTGCCAAACGCTGTGCTAAGCCTGCAGAATCGAGCTCACCCCAGCCCTGAACAACCTGTTTGCTTCCTGAATATGGACTCTGGTCACACACATGCAGTCCTGGGGTAGGTCCACACAGCTAAACTACGGTTGACAATGGTGTGAAGTGCTCCCTGCCCCCCCGCCCCAAGGGTCTCCTCTAAAGCGATACAAGCAAAGTTCAGTTAAGTGCTCAGCTTGCCCCGGCACCTTGCAATCCTCCTGCTACTAGGGTGAACAGAACTGATGCTCACTCTCATAAAATGTAAAGGTCCTCGGCGACATTACTATTATTAAACGCCAGCTGTGTACAAAGCTCTAGGCTGGATGCTGGCTGGGAAGGCAGGTGGGGGAAGGCAAGAAAAGAGAGCGGGAGAGATGGAGGAAAGGAGATCGATGGAGTGTGGTCAAGATGGAGGAGACAGAGATAGGGGAGATGGTCAGAGGCCAGGAGAGATGCGGGGAAAGAGAGTCTGAGTGTAGCGACAGACAGATGGCGGGAGAAAGAGAGGCAGAGAAACATGTAAAAGAGCAAGACAGGGTGAGCAGAGAGACAGAGAAGGATGAGAGGCATCAAGAGCTAAGAGACAAAGAGATGAGAGAGATGCAGTTGAAATTTTCAGTTGCACCTGGACAGCATTTCAAGTTGTTCAAAGCTCTGAAATCCATAAAGACTGGCAGCTGACATATTTTAAAAATCCTATCCATCTACGTATCAATTGATGAATTCATTTATTTTTGCCCCTGCCCATGCATTAAGTACTTCACCTTTAAGTCTTCTGCCATTTATTCTATTATTTTTTTAAAGACCTTACCTGGCTGGAATCACGGTAGCTGGGTACATCCCACTGTACCAGAGGGCCCCTGACCCCCCCGCCGTGCCTACCTCCCTGCCATCTCCTCCAATGGGGCCCACATCTGGTAGGGGAGAGCAGGGACACTCACCTTGGTGAAGTGGACTGACAGAAAAGGATCAGCCTGGCTTGTGGGAAACTGTCACGTATCAAAAACAACTTTGCTTTTATACCGAGAAGAAAAACCACGCTGTACGGTGTGGAAGCCGCAGACCTCTCTCTTCTAATAATCCAAATTTTTTTCGATGAGTGTGTGCGCTGATAATCACGGGGTGGGGAGGGGTTCTCATAGTTTTTTTTTTCTCTCTCTCTGTGTTTCTCCTTTTCTTGATTATGAGACTTAAACGGAAATTTTGAAATTTTGGGTTTTTTTCTTTGCCCTTTACGAGTCATCTGAAAATATGATTTCTTCCCCTCACCACAGAGGTGAGAGGTATCAATGAGATAATAGGGCTCATGAGAAACCACAGTTTTTAAAACAAAAGTGTATAGAGTTTGAAAAAAAAAAAACAAGGGAAAAGAACTAAAATAAATCACAGGGCCAACCCGAGGCAGGCAGAGACACCATTCTGTGAGTGAGAGGATATTTGAGGGTCTCTGGGGAAAGAAAGAGAATCTGAAGCTCTATGTGTGGATGGGAAATGCCAGGGAAAGAGACAGAATAGGGCTGGGTTCCCAGAGGCCTCGCCCTACTCCAGGCCTCAGTTTCCCTATAGATGGAATTGATATGGTCCCCATTGCTTGAACTACCCGGCGAGGGGAGTTCTGCACCCCCTGCAACACCCCTCCCACAGAGGGTGAGGGGCATGTAAGTTACTTCATGGAGGAGAAAGCGGAGAGCCCACTGTCATCCCCTAAAATTCATGGACTTGAAGAGTCGGAGAATCCCTGGCTCCCAGAATCTACTGACAGTTACTGAATGAGGAAAGAGAGAAAAGTCTCGCCTCATCACGTTTTAGGGCTTGAGTGCCCTGACCCAGCCACTGTCCCACTGGGAAGGTCCCTAGCAGGTCCCCAATATTAATGCATCCATCCTCACGATGAACCCCAGAGGCCCATTGGGACCCTGACCCTCTTGTTTCAGGAACATCATGGCCTGATGCTTCTGAGGCCCTCAGCCTTTGGGGTCTTTTACTTCAAAAAGCCCCAGTTTCCAAGGATTTAGGATTCCAAATATCCGCCATCATCTCAGTAGCTGATGTTTATCTTGAATTTTCCATGGGTCAGATACAGTGCTGAACATGTCTCACAAGTGATCATGTTCAATCCTCACCATGGCCCCTTGAGCTCCATCTCATCATTATTGTATTCCTGTTATACAGATGAGGGAAACGGAGGTATAAGTAGTCAAGCAACTTGCCCAAGATCACAGAGCTGGCGAGTGTGGGTCCCGCTTTCTTTGGTGCTGGGCTTTGAAATCCCCAAGCTTTCCTGAACTTGATGTTCTCAGGTTTTAAATTCTAGGATGTGATGGCAGGGAGATCCTGGGATTTGGAGAGTCCTTGGAGACTTGAAGCTTGTGAGGCTTTTAGGTTGTCCAGGAATTGGCGGCTGCATCTCTTGACCTCAGCAGGCACTCTATTCAACCACTGGTCAGCATGGTAGACCAGCCCCCAGGGGCTTCTCCTGACAGGCCATGGTGAAGACTTCCAGCTCCCAGCACCCTGCAAAGCCCAGGGTTCTAGTCGTCCAACAACCACTCCAGCCCTCTACAAGACTGGCTTCAGACCTGGGGAAGAGAAATTGGAAAGGGCTTTTTATTTACATGGTACAAATCTGGTGGCCAAGATCCACCCCTTCACCCCTTTGCCCCCTTTCCTCCCCCAACCTTCTAAGCCCTCGTAAAAAGGAGGGCCTCTTTCCTCAACTCAGACTCACCCTTCTGGAAAAGCCCAGAATGGGCCTGATGGCCTGGCTTTGTGAAGACAAGAAAAAAAAAAAAAAAGAATAGAAAAAAAAAGACCTTAAAAAAATCAGCCAACAACAATTAAAAAAAAAAAAAAACACCCAACCCTCCCCACCATTAGTTCAAAACAAAACTTTCGCTGGTTGAGGCTTCTGAGTTGGTGGGACACATCTGAGACCCAAAAATGGCTTGGGTGTGTTGGACAGCCAGGGGAGGCACCAAGGTGGGATGAGGTCCCCTGCTTGGAGGCCTGCAGGGACCCTGTGAACAGCAGGTGTTTAACAGATGTCACGGCATGTGGGAGGGAGCAAGGGAGGGGGTGAGGAGCATGCATGTCAGGAAGGAGTCCTGGGGAGCTGATTCTAGTGATGGCCCCAAGGTTAATGACCCCTTGCAGTGATGGTCCTAAGGTTAATGATCCCTTGCACTGATGTTCCCATAGTTAATAACCCCTTGCTCCCTGCAGACTTGGGTCGGAATGTTCCCTACACCTCCTGCGTAATTATAAACCAGGCCAGTTCTATCAGCAGAGGCATTGTTCCCTGCCCCAGCACCTGTCCCCCTCCTGGAAAAGGGGGCTAGTTTTCTCTCTCAGGATCAGAGGTGTGGGCTGCATTCTCCTTATACCTTCCCCAGACCATCTGTCCCTTACTGTCACTCACTCCATGAAAGAGAGTGGCCAGAGATATAGGAGGCAAACGAAGTGAGGATGGTGGCCGAGAATGTGAGCTGGCCCCTTGGGCAGGCCCAGGGTGTGAGAGGGAAATGCTACGGCTGCTGAAAGCCAAGATCCTTGCAGAATGGGGGCTGGGGTCAGGAGGGCAGAGAGGGGTAGAGGTCGCTACCTCCCCTCTATACTGGACTATATCCTCTCTCATGGAGGGCTTCTCGGGAAGGAGACTGGGAGGGCTGGGAGTTGGGGGTGAGTAGGCAAGATTAAACGGGTCAGGAAAAGTCCCCAGAGACAGGGGCCTCTGACAAAGACTTGAAGGAGATGAGGGAGGGAGCCAGCTAGATATCTGAGGAACTCCAAAGGAAACAGCCAGGGCAAAGGTCCTGAGGTGGGAATGTACCTGATTTGTTCAAGGTCTACAAGGGGGCTGGTGTGGTTAGTGTGGAGAGAGCAAGAAGAGAAGCTGGAGGTGAGGTCAGAAAGGGGACTCGGAGGTTAGACCACGCAGGACCTTGTAGGCCATGGTAAGGACTTTGGCTTCAACGCTGAGTGAGGAGGAAGGCATGACAGGGTTGCAAGCAGAGGAGAAACACAAACCGTGTTAGGATTTAACAGGAAGCCCCTGAATGCTGAGTGTACAATGGGGTCTAGGGCCTGAATGTGGAAGCAGGGGACCAGCAAGGAGCTGGCTACTGCAGTAGTCTAGGTGACTGGTGATAGTGCTGGCAGTGGAGGTGGTGAGAAGAGGATGGATTTGGTAAATATTTTTAATAGACAGCCAAAAGGATTTGTTGAAGACTGAGAGTCTTGGAGCCAGATCGGGACAGACAATGCCCAAACCAGGTGGGCAGGAAGGAGTCCCTGGACTATTTGCCAGCTTGAACTTTTAGGTGAGAAAAAAATAAAGTTCTGTCTTGCTTAAGCCCCCATTATTTTATGATTTTTCTGTTACTTGCAGCTGAACATATTCATTTCTAACTCATGGACATCCTGAACATGGAGACCTGGGGAGAGGGGCTGCTGGAAGGATCACCTCCCTCCTAGGATGCTGTGAGGTTCTAATGAGATAACAGCATGCTCAGAACCTGGCACTCAGTAGGTGTTCAGTAAATCTTCCCAGGATGGAGAAGGAATGTATGAATGGATGTGTTCAGCGGACAAAAGCTGCAGTTGAGTTCCCACAGAAGGTGAGACCCCAAAGGGAGAGCGAAAGGAGTTTACTAGATGGAAGCAGCAGAAGGAACAGCACTCTTGGGAGAGGGAACAGTAGAAGCAGAGATGGGGGGACAGAAAGAAGGGAGGTGAGGCCCCTGTGGGGTGTGGAGTGTCAGGTTGGGCAAGAAGGACAGGGCTTTGATTGTGATTCCATTAGTCAGAAGCTACCCATATGCCCAATCAACTTCTGGTAGCACACAGTCAGGTCAGTGTTTGCTGAGCTGAAATTTAAAAAAGTGAATCCTTCAGAAAGTTAAATTTCCTATTCGGCCATTCATTCAACAATAGTATCAAGTCCTGGAGAGTGCTTGCGGCTAACAATCAGGGGCATTCTTGGCTTGTGGCACTGCTCAAGAAAAGGTTGTAGTTGGGCAGGGAGGACCCAGTAAGTAACTAACTGCAACAGGACAGTCATTTTCACTTTCCTAGTTCACACACCAAGGTGTGGTCTAGGCCTTCAGGGGCTCTGGGTATTCCTGGGGCAATGGGGAGTCACGGAGGGTTAGGGAGAGGGTAACCCCATCCCTGAGAAGCACATTTTTCCTAATGGCTGCCTGCGTTCTATGGTTCTGCTGTCCGGCCACCCAATACCTCAGACTCTGTCTACACAGCGTCCTCCTCTCCAGCCTCCTTATTGGCTACTCATGCCTCCCTTCACACCACCTACACTGCCCCCGTCGGCTCTGCTTTTTTCCCCATCTTGCCTCCAAGTCCTCCCTCCGTCCCGCTGCACTATCTAGCCTCGGCATTGGCTCATCCCATACTAGTACTGTCCTTTGAGGTCTCTACGCCTTCACCCTGGCTCCCTCATTGGCTATCCGCCAGCTCTCGTCCTCGCTCCCGCCTTCAGCCTCCACCTCCATTGGCTCGGCTCCCTACACACCCGCCTCTTGGTCTCCTTTTAGCCTTCGTATTGGCTAGCTCCACCTTGGCACCACCCCTTCGAAGCCGCAGTGCACGCTCACAAGCCTCCCCATTGGCTCGCTGCAGCCATTGTCGTCATCCCACGCGTGGCTCTCCATTGGCTGTTCTCTCTCTCTAGCTACCGTTCCACCGCCTACGCAACCCGCGGGATCTCCCACTTTTTGGGCCTCTGCGTTCGTTCCCGGCTGCCCTCATCGCCTGTAGCCATTCCACTTTTCCCACCGCCCACATGCCTCTCTCGCTCAGACTTCCGCATTAGCTGTCTGCTTCTGTTTTCTTCATCATGGATTTCGCACCACCCCCATTCCGGCCTCTCCATTGATTCCTCGATCATCCCGCCCCCTACACCGCCCACTCCCGGGCATCCCCATTGGCTGCGTGCTTCTCCGGCTCTCAATTCGCTGTACGTCATCCGTGCATGGCTGCCCATTGGCCCTCTGCAATACTTGTCTTCATCTCACCGCCTATGCCCCCGTGAGCCGTACCCCTCCGCGCTGGCCTTCCCATTGGCTGCCCGCCCCTTCAGGCCCTGCCCCCGCCGGTCCCGCCGCCGGTGCCGTCGGTGCCGCCGCCGCCGCCGATATGGCGCGTACGGCCCCTGTGGAGCCCCCGCTGCGGCATTCCGCGCCCCCCTCGCCGGCCGCGGGTGAGCCCCGCACCTCGGTCGAGGCGGCGGTGGCCCCGCGGAGGGTGCTGTTCGCCGACGAGGCCTTGGGGCTGCCGCTGGCGCAGTTGCGCCGCTACCGGCCGTGGGGCGGGCCCGGGGCGGGCAAGATGGCGGCGGCGGCCGGGCAAGATGGCGGCGGCGGCGGCGGGGCCGACGAGGACGACGATGGCGAGGATGGGGATGAAGGGGAGGAGGAAGAGGAGGCTTGCCCCGAGCCCTCACCGCTGTGCCCCGTCCCCGCTGGCGGGGGGTTTTACCTGGTCCCCACATTTTCGCTGCCGCCCGCGCCGGGCCGTCTGGAGCGCTTGGGGCGCGTCATGGTGGAGCTGGAGGCGCTGCTGCCGCCTCCCGGAGCGGTCCCCGGGGGTGCCGGGGTGTGGGTGCCTGGGGGCCGCCCGCCGGTGCTGCGCGGGTTGGTACGCGTGCTGAACCGCTCCTTCGAGAAGGCGGTGCACGTGCGGGCCTCACACGACGGCTGGGCTTCCTTTTGCGACCACCCAGCGCGCTACGTCCCGCGCAGCCCGCCGTGGGCAGGAGCGGGAGGAACAGGAGCAGGAGATCCCATCCTGGATCCGGGGCTCGGCCTGGGTCCCGGCCAGGCATCCGCCTCCTCGCCCGACGACGGCGGCCGCACCGACCGCTTTGCCTTCCAGCTGCCCTTTGCTGAGGGCGCGGGCGATGGGGCGCGCCTCGACTTCGTGGTGCGCTATGAGACCCCTGAGGGCACTTTCTGGGCCAACAACCACGGCCGCAACTACACAGTCCTGCTCCGGATCGCACCCGCTCCCACACCCACTGATGCCGAAGGGCTGCCCCAGCAGCAGCAGCTGCCGCAGCTGGAGCCACAGCCCGAGTGCCAGGGTCCCGTGGAGGCTGAGGCCAGGCAGCTGAAGAGCTGCATGAAGCCGGTGAGGCGCAGGTAATGTCAGCCAGCGCCACCTCCGCCAACGCAGGGCTGTGTCTGGGATGGAGGACAAGCATTCCGGCCCAGGAACCCCTCAGGCCTGCTCTCCAGGACAGGGAGGAGGGTGCATTGAGTCAGTCAGTCAAAGAGTGATGGAGGTCAAACACGTGCTAGGCACTGTTTTAACTGGGGTTTTATTCCTCCATTTATTGAGTTCCACTGTAAAGCCCTGAACAAGACAGACATCTACCCTACCCTCAAGGATTCATACAGGCTCCTATGGGAGACAGTTTGAAAAAACAAGCAAGCAAGCAGATAGGATAAATAGGGACAAAGTTAGCTGCTGAAGGGAGTAAGGGGATAGATTGGGAGGGAATGACTGTGTCAGACATGCTGTTAAAGGGAGGGCCTTTGAGGAGGTGAGTCCCGAATGATGATAAAGAAGAGTTATGCAGATACGGTGGGGAGGTGGGGGAGAGTTTGTAGGAAAAGGAACAGGGAGGACTTTTCTGAGGAGGTTTCATTTAAACTAAGTCCTGGATGATGAATAACAGTTATGTGCATATATGGAACAAGGGTGTTCTAGGTAGAGGAAACAGCAAGTGCAAAGGTCCTGGGGTGGAAATGAGCTTGGTGTGAATGATCAGCAGTGTGCTGGAGTGGAGAGAACTGCAATGACATAGTGTGGACCAAGGGCTTTGCCAGTGGGGGGTAGAGCAGATTCTCTTTCTGACAGAGCAGGAAACCAGGATTCCAGAGGTGGAGAAACTGGTTGAGGCAGTGATGGCACCTGGCTCTTCCAGTTCACCCATGCCTGACCTTGAAGCCTGTGCACTCTACTGTTAACGCTGTAATCTACTTTTGAGTCCTGTGGAGGCGAGGGGCTGAGCCCATGCTCTCACAAGAAAGCAGTGGCTCTAGCAGAGAGACAGAACCAGATGGGTACTGGACTTGAAGTTTTTGTCCCTTGTTTTTTTGCCACACCACCTGTGATCATTTAGGGACAGGGAGAAATAATCAGTTATACCCCAGGGGGCCCCAGAAGATTTCCCTAGGTTTCCTCTATCAAGCTATGAGTTCTTTAAGGGCAGCAGCTAGTCCTGATTCTTTTTGCGGTCACCTAAGTCTGGCCCAGGATCACTAGATTCTCCCTAAAATGTATACATTTCCCTGTTCCTGGGAGGACTGGGAATGGAAATGGGAAAATGCTTTTTGGACCTTGTATGTATACGCTTGGTCAGAAGCCCCTGGCTGCAGTAAGACATTTGTGGGTTCTGCTGGTTCTGGTAAGGCCTTAGGCTGTGAGTGGTTCAGAAAGGTCTAGCTCCGGTCTGGTGGGCAGATGTGCCTGGGTAACTGAGCAGGCAGGCAGGTACCCACTCACCCACCTGTGAGCCCCACCATAATCTGAGACTTCATTTAAAGGGGGCAGGCAGCATGGTTTTTCTTACAGCATTAAGAGTGTGGATTCTGGCATAGATTGCCTGGGTTCAAATCCTGGCGCTGCCACTTACTGGCCTTGTGACCTTGGCCAACGCATTTAACTACACCATGCCTCAGGACCCTCACCTGTAAAACAGAATTATAGCATCTACTTTACGGGATAAGAGTAAAGGTGCTCAGAACCGAGTCTGGCTCAAAGTAGTATCATACAGGTGTTAGCTAGTGTCAGTATTTAGGGAGCCACACCTACAGTTTCCTGGATTCCTCTCCTAAATTCGGCTCCGCCCATCAGCTGTGTGGCCTTGCCTCCGTTTCCTTCTCTGCTAAGGGAAATGACAGTCACTTTGCATGGTTGGATTGAATGCAGCAAACATGGGCAAGGTAACTGAAGCATGGTGGTAACTGCAAAAGATAACTGGCCAGCATTTACTGATTTCTGTGCTATGAACATCAGATCCATTCTCTCCGTGAGGCCTGCTGTGCATGCTGTGTTGTGTAGGTGCTATGATTATCCCCATTTAGTAGAGGGGAGACAGGTAGCTCAGAGAGATGAGCCAGCTTGCTCAAAGCCTCTCAGCTAGTGAGTGACAGGGCCAGGGAAGAAATGCTAGGGACATTTATTTTTTTCTATTTTTTTTTTTTAAACTGGTCCTCTAGAAAGCGTGGCATGATTCAGGGCAAATTCTGGATTTCACTCTTGGTGTTCCCAGCATGTCGTGCTTTCCTTTTACCTTTTTTTTTTTTTTTGCTTTATCGAGGTATACCTACATAAAGTGTACTGATATTCTGTGTATAGCCCAGTGGATTTGTACATATGTATGCACTTGTGTAGCCACCACCCAGATGAAGATACTGAGCAGGTCCAGTACCCCAGAGCTACCTTCATTTCTATCACTTTCCCAAGCTGTCATCCCCGCCGGCTGTCATGGGAACCCTGTCTGTAAGATGCGACAGTTTGGGTAAAGGAGTTTGGTCATTTTAAAGAGTGTGAAAGGCAGAGAACAGAGAAATCAAAACCTTGCAGGGCCAAGGTGGGTGGAGAGGGTGTTTTTCTTTTAACATACATGGGCGGTTTTAAGGAGAAATTGAAGCAGCCTGTTCAGACAATTGTTTTGGTATCTGGCCCCAGGTCTGTGGTTCCTAACATGACTTGTGATATTATTTTAAGTGGGCAGATGGCTTTTTGATAGCTTCTTTATCTTTCGATCTCAGCTCTTGCAAAGGGGAGGTTGGTGCTCATTGCAAGATCAGCGATAAGGGTTTCTTTGTAGGTCGGTGGCTTTCTTGGTGAGTACATTTCAACATATTATTGTTTTAGAACCTGTGTGCTGCCAGTGACTTGCAGCACTGTTGAAGACTAGCCACCCTTTGTGACCTAGCCCTCTTGGGAAATGGCGGAGGATCTCAGGGTATATCCCTTACCTGTGGGAGCCCTATCAGAGGGCTTCCTGTTGAGGAAATGTTGGCTGTAGGCCCTCTGTGCACTGAGCACAGCCACATCAGGTGAGGGCATGGGAGAAGTCCGTGGTAGCCATCAGGATAGAGTTCAGAAACCCAAATGGCTGCTTTCCCTGGGTTGCTGGACCAGGCATTTGGTAACTCTAAAGCTTAGAGATGATTCATCGACAAGCATTTATTGACTGCCTACTGTGTGCTGGGCACAGTGCTAGGTTCCAGCAGGGAAAGAGATGCAGAGTGGTCCTAAGATGTCACAGGGCTTGTGGGATGGAGTACAGAGGATTTGTTGTATGAGACCTGGCTGAGCCCCTGCTCTTCGCCAGGCACTTCACTGAGTACTATATTTTCATGCAAGGTCTGGTTTAATTCCGACAACATTCCCTGTGAAGTAGAGGGTTTTAAATTTCTCTTTCCTGGATGAGCAAACTGAGGCTCCCAGAGTCCAAAGTCCTAGGGCTGGTGTGGGGAAAAGCCCTCCTGATCTTCCTTGGCACTTGACACTACCCTTTGGAAGTGTCCTATTCTTCTTAAAAGTAAAGACCAAGAGAGCCTCACCATGGTCTTCAAGCACCCTCCCATCCCATTCCCCAATCTGGCCTCCACTGGCTCATAGTCTTAACACCAGTGGTCTTTCTGAGCTCCTGTCACCATGGTCTTTCTGTTACTCCAAAGGGCCTCGCTCCTTTCTGCTGCAGGGCCTTTGCCCCTGCTGTTTCCTTCACCAGGAACATTTATCCCGTACCCCTTGCAGTCTCCTCCAGTGTTGATCCCTCAGTTCTAAGAGGACTTCCCCAGGGGAGCCTGTCCACCCCAGTGTCCTCGGGCCCCTGGCTTTTTCATAGCACTCATCAGCCCAGCACGTGCTAAGCTTTGTTAGAGAATGTCCCATGGCAGAGCAGATGAACATCGCCACCAGTCGAGGGGTCATCGGCCACCCTGCCTAGCAGTTCTACTATATTTTTTTGATCCACTCGTTTCTCCTCTGAAGTGACTCTTTCAAATGTTCTTTACCTTCAGACTTTCTCTCCTGCTTCAAAAAACAAAACAGAAGCCATAAGAATGGAACTCCCTATAACTTGTGGCCCCCAAGTCTGCACGCTGATTTCCCTCCCCTGTGTTACAGATGACGAGGAGTCCCTTCTTGCTCAGGCCACTTCTCCCTCCTGTGCTCTGGGTCCCAGTTTCTGCTACTTGCTCTAGAATCTGACATCATCAGTCACCTTTTCTCTCCTGGCAGGTTTTCTGCTGCCCTCCTTGCTTGATCCTCTATTCACCTTTGCCTGTGCCAGCATCCCTTCTGTCTCCGCTGACCCCACGTTCTCTCCCTCCTGCTTCTGGCCAGCACCTCATCACCCTCCCCTTCACTGCTGACCCCTGCAGAGTTGCCTGTACTTGCCTTCTGCACTTGCTCACCCCCGTAAGTGTTAGCCCCCGGCATCTGCCAGATTCTGCAGGTGGTTTTTTAGTTTTCCTCTTGAAGTGGTTGACCACTCCTACTTAAAACACTTTGTCTTCCCTTGCCTTGAGACCACACTCTGCTGGTTTTCCTCTTAACTCTCTGGCCCTTCTCTTTCTCCTGGCTCTTCCCTTAGCTTCATGTATCCAAACTCGGCATCTCCACTTGACTGATGGCCCAAATAATTCCTCAAACTCACCTTGTCGGGGACTGCATTCATCACCTCTCCCACAGTGTTCCCAAGCAGCCTCTCACTCCCCTACCTCCCCACTTGCTCGTTTTGCTTTTCAGCATCCTTAAGTAAGCCCTGCCTGACCCTGTAGATTGGGCCAGGGACCCTTATTCTAGGGCATTCTTTCCTTTTCTAAAGGCACTGATCGCAGTTTGTAGTTATATCTTTATTAGGGGGTTGCTGGATGACTCTCTGCCCCGCTAGACTGTAAGCTCCGTGAGGGGTAGGGACATGGTCTGCTTTCATTCACCACTGTATTCCTGCAGGCCTGCCACAGTGCCTGGCACTTAGCAGGTGCTCAATAAATGTTTGTTGAAATAATGAGTTTGAGTATTTTTTTAATGTCTTCCTCCATACTGAATTGTAAGCTTCCTAGTTGGGTTTGCTCACCATGGTGTCTCCAGGATCCGTCACTGGGGCTGATGCACAGGAAGGCCCACTGTCTTTCAGTGCACCTATAACTGAAGGGATGGGGATCCAACCTGCTATCTGAGTTGGCAGCCTCAGGGGAAACCAGAATAACTGGAGTTGAACGGGACAAGTCAGGGGCATCTTAGTTTTCTGTAGAGTGAGGAATTAATGTGAACGTGATCCTCTTTTATGCCACAGAAAACTTGGTAGGGCATTATGGTTAAGGACATGGGCCTGAGGCCACGTGCTAAGAAAGTGGCAGAGCTGGGATCTGAGCCTGTGTGGTCCTGCTCTAGTGCTCCAGCTCTTAGCTACTGTACCAGGCTGGGTGATGCATTTTACCAGCAGGGCAACACTGGGCAAGTTGCTTTCCTTTCAGAGCTTCAGTTTCCCTCAATGGAAATTTGGAGGGGGTTACTGTTAAGTGCTTTATAGGTACTTTTCAAATATTTCTTTGATCTGCTGAACAACTCACTGATGTAGGTATTATTATCCCCTCCTTAGAGATGAGGTAACTGAGGCACAGAGAGGTTAAGTAACTTGCCCCAGGTCACACAGCTGATAGGTGGCAGAGCTGGAATTGTTCAAAATTGCATATCCTAACCCTTTATTGAGTTGTGAAATCAATTTACTGGGTTTCAACAAGCATTAAAAAGAAAAAGGAAATAGCATAAGAAATGCCAGTGTATCACCACATGCAGTAAAGGTAAGTATTGTTTCACTCGAAGAACAACCATTTTTCAGTTATTTATATGTCTGTTTACACGTGTGGGTGTGCTGGGTTATGATGTAGAATGGATTTCTTACTATGGGTCGTGGCCAAAGAATGAAGTCATGGCTGTTGAAGAAGCTCATGGCACGAGAAACTGCTCTCCCTCTACCCCACTGGATCACCCGCAAGTCCCAGAGTTGAGGCTGACACACTTGTTGGGGAAGGCAAAGCAGTGCCCCACATAACTTGGTGGCTTTCACAGCCACCTTCAAACCCTGTTCTTTTCAGAAAGCAGATGGCTCAGGGTAACTGCAATTCTGAGTATCGTGGGGCAGGTTTCTGAAGCCACTCATCCCCCCGGAAAGTCAGCGTTATCTTCAGGTTGACTACATGGGAGCCGGGGTCTGCTGAGTTTCCCTTTGGGTTTCAGTGCCTGACCCACTTTGGGCTGGCAAAATTCTTTGAAAACATGAATGCTGGGGGTGCTCCAGAGGACTCGGGTGGTGGTGGCAATGGCAGTCTGTGACTGCTCTGAAAGTCTGCTTTGCTTTTCTCCACAGGGCTTGTCAGCCCTCACCCGCTCGCTTACTCTGTGACTGGCGAATCACCTTTCTTGGCTTTCTTGGCTGGCCTAGGCCGGGGCCAACACCACCTCTTTCCAAATCCTCACCCTCTGGTCTCCTCGGGGCCTATCAGCTTGGCAGCCATTGTGTTTCCTGATGGCCGGAGGAATTTGCACGCCCAGGAGACTGGCGTGCAGGCCTGAGATGGCCCCTTTTAGTCGACACCAGCTTGACTAGTGCTCACTAGCACCCAAATGATGCATGTCCAAGATTTTCCAGATCTGTGTGCCCTGGCCCCTATGGCTCACTGCCCTTGAGGGGATGCCACGTGGTACTTGTGGGGCTGGTGCCAAAAGAACAGGTTTCCTTCTTGAAAACGAGCAGGCATACTGCAGGTACAGTTTTGTTCTTAATCTTCTCCCTCCCCATTTTTCTAAGAACCCCTCTTCTCTGTTACCGATCAGTGAGTCAGTATACATTTGTACTTGATTTCTCTTACTATCCTCATGTTGATTGAAGTCATAGCTGCCCTTGAGTTTTTACTGTGAAAGACGGTTCAAAGATAACTTGTTTCTTTTTAAGCCCACAATTTCAAACTCTCTTCAAAGTGGAGCCCTCCTGGAGTGTTTGTTACCAGCGTGGTTGTGTAGTCAGTGAGTGTAGAGATGCAGTTCCTTGAGTTTTAGTTTTTGCATTTGTAAAAAGGAAGGGTGTTGTTTTGAAGGATAGATGTGAAGGTTTTCAAATGCCTTGGTGTGTCAATGAGAGGGGCCCATGGTGGAGGAGGTGAACAATACATGCTTGTGCTTTCTGCTTTCATATCTGACTTTGGAGAACGACTTGTTTGCTTCTGTCGATGTTGTGGATCTTGGGATTGGCTCAATGGCGTGACCTGCTTTTTGGATGTTCTCGCCCTCCTCAGCCATGGAAAGGGTGCTCTGGGGGCTGAAGGATTGATTGTGTATTTGTTTTTCTTTCTCCTTCCTCCAACTGAATTGTGGAGTCCTTTACCTGCTGGCTAGCTGATTCCTGAGTGTTCTCCTTTTTCTGTCTCACATCTATGACTGCAGTGGCTTTTAGAAGCCTGTTTGTAATATATGTCCGGACTAGGCCAGATGGAGGAGAAGGCTTGCCTGCTACTGCGCACAGGTGGGAGGGCTGGCTTTCTGTCTGTCTGTGGGCCTTCTTGAAGAGGCTTGGTTTAGAAGATCCTAGGAGGAGGATGTTTTCTGTCATGAAGGACTATGGTAACAAAAAGAAGTAAGTTAGTGCAGCCTGGCAGAAATTGTGTTGAAACAAAAGTCCAAAGACCTGGATTTTAGGACCACGGAGGGGATTGGTGTGAGACCAAGCTGGTTTGCTCTGAATCTCTCTTTCTCATCTGTGATGTGTGGGAGGTGGCAGCTGGGCTCCCAGAGTCACCCACCCTAGGCCCTGTAGTATTCTGATTCAAGTACCTCTGGTGGGATTTGTGAGTCCTAGACAGTAGAGAAAGACAGACGGTCCCTTCTAGACTCTAGATCCGTATATATGGTTCAAATGTTCTCCCCGAGGGTGTTTATAGAAAGCAGTTCTTGCAGCCATTCTGTGTCTAGTGGCCTCCTAGCCACGCATGTCCCAGGCCCATGGAGGTAGGGAAATGGGGAATGAATATGTGGGCAAAGGCAGGTCCAAAGAAAAGCCTGCATGAAGGAGGAGGGAGGGATCTTGTCTAGTATTGATGCCTCCCTCTATCTACTTCTAGAAAGGATGGAGATGGGTTGGGTAAGACCCCAGTCTCCCTCATCCAAGAAGCAGCAGCTGACTGGGTAAGAGCCAAAAGGCCTGGGTTGTGATGTGAAGTGTATGACCTTGAGCCATTTACTCAGCCTCTGTTTTATCCTCTGTAAAATGGAGACAATAGTACTGCCTGCTTCAGAGGATTACAAGTACCTGTCTCATAGGGTGATTGTGAGGATTGAATTAACACATGTTGCCCAGGCACCGTGGCTCATGCCTGTAGTACTAGGACTTCGGGAGGCTGAGATGGGAGGATCGCTTGAGTCCAGGAGTTCACGACCAGCCTGGTCAACGTAGGAAGACCCCATCTCTAAAAACAAAATACAAAAAAACAAAAACAAAAACCAAAAAACCCCAAAAACTTCTTTAAAAAAATGTGAAGCACTTAGAACAGTGTGTAATGCCATAGTAGGTACTATGTATGGGTCAGATGGTGATACTCGTTTCTGTGAAGGTAATTGGTTATGGGTTTTCAAAAAGTTTCAACCAGGCCGGGCACGGTGGCTCATGCCTGTAACCCCAGCACATTGGGAGGCCGAGGAGGGTGGATCACCTGAGGTCAGGAGTTTGAGACCAGCCTGGCCAACATGGCGAAACCCCGTCTCTATTAAAAATACAAAAATTAGCTGGCTGTGATGGTGGGTACCTGTAATCCCTGATACTTGAGAGGCTGAGGCAGGAGAATCACTTGAACCTGGGAGGCAGAGGTTGCAGTGAGCCGAGATCATGCTATTGCACTCCAGCCTGGCGACAGAACGAGACTCCATCTCAAAAAAAAAAATTTTTCAACCATTGTCAGAAGTATCAAGAATGTCACATTGCCTCTTAGGAAGAAAAAGGTGTGGGCATTCGCCCCAGCTCCTCTCAGGTTTTAGTCAATGCTTCCCTCATTTACCTTAATCTGTAGACACTTGATACTCATTTTCAGAATAAGAACAGTGACTTCTCCATGATGAGATGCCACCCCTGGGAGGACCCACCTGAAATGCACTCGGCTTATGCCACTCAGGGATCTGACTGGCCTGGTGAAGGAGGAGCAAGACCCATAAATATCTACAGTTGATTCAATCCCAGCTGTGTGTCAGGCCCTGATTTCTGGCTGTCCATCCTCATTCCTCTTGACTGCCCTGTGCTTAGTGCACATCCTGACTCCCCGGGGCTCTGTTTTATGAGTGAGGAGGTGAAGCGACCTGCCAGGCTGATACGGGGACGAGAGGGTTAGCATAGGGACCCAGGCCTCTGTGACCTCCCTCCCAGTCTCCATTTGCATTCCTTCCTCTGCCTCACAGTCTTGTCTACCTGCCATTTCTTAGAAAAGGTGTTTTTGTTTTGTTTTGTTTTGTTTTGTTTTTGTGAGATAATCTCTCACTCTGTCGCCCAGGCTGGAGTGCAGTGGTGTGATTTCGGCTCACTGCAATCTCTACCTCTTGGGTTCAAGCGATTTTCCTGCCTCAGCCTCCCAGGTAGTTGGGATTACAGGCGCCCACCACCACGCCCAGCTAATTTTTATATTTTTAGTAGAGACGGAGTTTCACCATGTTGGCCAGGCTGGTCTTGAATTCCTGACCTCAGGTGATCCACCTGCCTCGGCCTCCCAAACTGTTGGGATTACAGATGTGAGCCACCGCGTCTGGCCCTTTTTTTTTTTTTGAGACTGAGTTTCACTCTTGTCCCCTAGGCTGGAGTGCAATGGCGCGATCTTGGCTCACTGCAACCTCCGCCTCCCAGGTTCAAATGATTCTCCTGCCTCGGCCTCCCAAGTAGTTGGGACTATGGGCGTGCACCGCCATGCCCAGCTAATTTTTTGTATTTTTAGTAGAGACAGGGTTTCATCATGTTGCCCAGGCTGGTCTTGAACTCCTAACCTCAAGTGGTCTCCCTGCCTCGGCCTCCCAAAGTGCTGGAATTACAGGTGTAAGCCACCACGCCCAGCCGAAAAGATGGGTTCTTCTATCTTTTCTCTTTCCATAGCCAGGAATGTATCCTAAAGAAATGATACAAGTGTCGATAAAACTATGCCCAATGCTGTTTGCTGGTTTGCTTTGCAACCTCTAAATGAAAGAACTTAGCTGCTCAGTAGGAAGGGAATGGTATGATATGAGTATTAAGCAGCCATTTGAAATGTTTGCAAAAGTGTATAATGATGTTTCTTACTGTTAAATGGACAAAGCTAGCTGTGAAATTATGTCTGTAGAATCTAAATGATTTCGTAGAATATCTGGAAGGAAATTTTCCAGAATGGTAACAGTAGTTGTCTCTGGCTGATGTGTGATTGTTTTTCTTGCTTCTTTAGACTTTCCTGTATTTTGCGAATTTTCTATAATGAGGCTGTAGGACTTTTAGGATGAGGGGATAAACAAAGGCAGCAGAAGAGAAAACAGCAGCTGTCAGGTGAAGGTGGGCTAGCACAGAGGCTCAGAAGGTGCCAGTGGGTGGCAGAAGTGACCTCTCAGGGTATTATTAGATCCATGTACTCTCTCCTCTGCCCTGCAGGCCTGCCGAGGAGGAACTGAAGACGAAGAACATGGATGATAACACCTTTGCCATGGGTAAGCAATTGGCAAGCTTCGGAAGTTTTAGCTTGTATTTACCATGTCTTTCTTCCTACTGTTTTTCTTTCTATAAAAATGAAAAAGGCTGGGCTCAGTGGCTCATGCCTGTAATCCCAGCACTTTGGGAGGCTGAGGCAGGAGGATTGCTTGAGGCCAGGAGTTCGAGATGAGCCTGGGCAACATAGTGAGACCTCATCTCTTAAAAAAAAAAAAAAAAGACGGGCATGCTGGCATGCATCCGTAGTCCCTGCTACTCGGGAGGCTGAGCTGGGAGGATCATTTGAGCCTGGGAGGTTGATGCTGCAGTGAGTCATGATTGTGCCACTGCACCCCAGCCTTGGTGACACATCGAGACCCTATCTCAAAAAAAAAATGAAGGGGTACCCTCTGCTTTAGATTGTCACAGAAAGCTTCAGAGGCAAAACTGCCAGTTGGCTAGGATGGCAGATTTTCTTAACAAAACCATACCTACTTGTATGCCTGTCTTGCCCAATGCTGCCTTTCTCTTCCCTCTAGCAGAGCATCCTGATGTCCAGGAGTCAGTGGGTCCACTGGTAGCCCCCACCCCTCTCCGTCCATGGCCCCAGATGACACTTCAGGTAAGTGGGTCCTTGCAGCCTTGGAGTAGACAGCCCAATAGGAGGCTCACAGTGTGACTATTGCTGGGCTGGGTGGTGGGGCCCACTAGCTCTGGGTCCTCCCTGGGTTGGAGGGAGGGCACAAAACTCAGAACCTGATGGGGGAGGGGGAGAATGCAGTTACTCAGCTGGGCTTGTAGAAATGTCATTTGTTAATTTAGCAAAAATTTATGGAGTGCTTGTTCTGTGCTAAGCACTGTTACAAACATGCAAAAACGCTCTTTGAGGGGGCTTATGTGTTAGTAGGGTGAGACATGATAAAGTAATAGAATATATGGTACTTTAGGTGATGATGAGTGATAAGGAAAAATAGAAAGGAATAGGGAGTGGGTGAGAGACTCTGTGTGTGTGTGTGTGTGTGTGTGTGTGTGTGTGTGTGTGTGTGTGTGTGTTGTGGGCGGGGGTCGGTTGCAACTTTAGATTGGGTGGCCTGGGAAGGCTTTAGTGATTAGTGAGATCTGAGCGAAGATCTGAGGAAGGTGAGAGAGTGAGCCACGTGGATAACTAAGGGAAGAACATCCCAGGCGAGTGTGAAGTTCCTGAGGTGAGGCCATGACTAACGTGTGTGAGGGACAGTGTAGAAGCCAGCGCAGCAGGGGCAGAACGAGGGAGGGGGAGAGTGGTGCGGGGTGAGGGAGAGAGGTGGCTGAGGACAGATTGGGTGGTGCCTCACAGGCCATGGTGAAGACTTTGGCTTTTACTCCGAGTGAGGGGGAGCCGCAAGAGCATTGTGGACGGAGGAGGGATGTAATCTGATTTAGGATTTAACAGGCTCCCTCTGGCTGCTGCTTGGAAAATAGACGTCAGAGTAAGGGTGGAAACAGGCGACTCGTGAAGGGGAGGCCACTGCAGTGGTCCAGGCGAGAGTGATGGTAGGTAGGGGAGGTAGAGACATTTTGGAGGGTGTGTGTGTGTGTGTGTGTGTGTGTGTGAACTTTTTAATTACAAAAAGTTTCAAACATACAAAAGTAAAATAGTATAATGAACCTACGTACACCATCCCCCAGCTTCAGTAAATATCAACACGTGCTCATTCTTATTTTATCTGTACCCCGTCTCCTCCCTCCCATTCCCTCTGGAATTATTTTGGAAGACATCCAGACATCATCCCATCCATAAATACTTCTGTTTGTATCTCAGAAAATTAAGAACTCTTTTTTGTTTTTTTTTTTGAGACAGAGTCTCACTCTGTCACCTAGGCTGGAGTGCAGTGGTGTGATCTCAGCTTACTGCAACCTCTGCCTCCTGGGTTCAAGCAAGTACATCCAGCTAATTTTTGTATTTTTAGTAGAGACGGGATCCGTTGCCTTGGCCTCCCAAAGTGCTGGGATTACAGGTGTGAGCCATCACGTCTGGCCAGAAAATTAAGAATTCTTAACCCCACAATACTATCATCACACCTTAGAAAATAAACGGTAATTCCTCAGTATCATCAAGTATTTGGTCAGTGTTCAAGTTTTCTTCTCTCATAAGTGTTTAGGATCCAAACAAAGTTGACATGTTGCATTTGATTGATGTGTCTCTTTAGATTTTTAAAATCTCCCCCACTTTGTTTCTTTGCAATTTGTTGGTTGAAGAAACTTTGCTTGTCCTGTAGAATTTTCCAGTCTGGGTCTGGCTGATTACATCCAGGTGGAAATACATTTCTTACTCCATTTTTATTAATTTATTAATTATATTAATTAATGTAATCTTATTAAATTTATTTAATTTATCAAATTGTATTAAACGAATGTATTTAATCTTTTATTATTAAATTAACTAGAATTAACTCTATTTAATTCTATTATTCCCACTTCCTTTATTAGCTAGAATTCTTCTCTAAAGAAAAACTGTCCCACACCAGCTATTTGGCTACTTTGAGATATAGTTTGTGCAGAAAAAGCAGTGTAAATATTTAATTTTTTCCATTTTATTTACCAGTTTTCAGAGAAGTACTACTACAAAGGTGACCAATAAAAGGATTTTTGGTTTTGTGTCATTATGAACTCATGAATTCTAAACATATTTGAATGAGTTTCAATCCATTGCACTTATTTGTTTGCTTTTTTTGATGCTTAAATTGAACTATCCCTGGCTAGTAGGAGCTTATTGAGATGGGCTACTCTGTCCTTTTGACACGCCCTCATCATTCTGTGAGCCTTTCTCACATCTTCCATGACAATATGTGCTAGGTTCATCCTGTACTCTCCCTGCCCCAAGCCTGGAAACAGCCATTTCTTTCTTGCTTTTCTTTTCTTTATTTTCTTTTTCTTTTTCTTTCTTTTCTTTCCTTTCCTTTCTTTCCTTACCTTTCCTTTCTTTCTTTCCTTTCCTTTGTCTCTCTCTTTCTTTCTTTTCTTTTACTTTATTTTTCTTTCCTTTCTTTCCTCTCTCTCTCTCTTTCTTTCTTTTTTCTTTTTCTTTCTTTTTTTTTTTTTTTTTTTTGAGTCAGAGTCTTTCTCTGTCGCCCAGGCTGGAGTGCAGTGGCACAATCTCGGTTCACTGCAACCTCTGCCTTCTGGGTTCAAGCAATTCTCCTGTCTCAGCCTCTTGAGTAGCTGGGATTACAGGCACATGCCACCACACCCGGCTGATTTTTGTATTTTTGCAGAGATGGGGTTTCACCATGTTGGCCAGGCTGGTCTTGAACTCCTGACCTGCCTGGTGATCCACCTGCCTTGGCCTCCCAAAGTGCTGGGATTACAGGCGTGAGCCACTGAGCCTGGCCAGAAACAGCTATTTCTTTAAGGAGCACTGATTCCTTTCAGTGGAGAGTGGCATTCAAAGGCCAAGATTTGGGGGCTCGGCATGCTTGCTGCTACTAGATTGGTCATTGTTTCTAGGCCCTTTCAAAAGATGGAGCTAGGAAATAATTGTTTTTTAAAGAGAAGATGATACATCATGGGTTCATATGGACATCCTGGCTATGTTTTGGGATTTTTTTGCATTTTATTTTTTTTAAAATTTTTTTAATTTTTAATTTTTGAGGGGACATAGTAAGTGTATATATTTATGGAGATGTTTTGATATAGGCATGCATTGTGTAATAATCACATCATGGAGAATGAGGTATGCATCTCCTCAAGCATTTATCCTGTGTGTTACAAACAATCCACTTACACTCTTTATTTTTTTTTTTTTGAGACAAAGTCTCTGTCGCCCAGGCTGCAGTGCAGTGGCACAGTCTCGGCTCACTGCAATCTCTGCCCTCTGGGTTCAAGTGATTCTCCTGCCTCAGCCTCTTGAGATTACAGGCGCACAACACCACGCCCAGCTAATTTTTGTATTTTTGGTAGAGACGGGGTTTCACCATGTTGGCCAGGCTGGTCTCGAACTCCTAGTTTCATGTGATCCGCCCGCCTTGGCTTCCTAAAGTGCTTGGATTACAGGTGAGAGCCACTGTGCCTGGCTACTTACACTTTTAGTTATTTTAACTGGCTCTGTTTTGAAGGTAAGCCAGCAGTATTTAGTGATGATCATTCACCAAATATTCACACCCACCGAATTCCTCAGCTTTATAATCTGCAAGAAGCCCTGTTTTACTGCATCCAATTGTGTTATTTTACCATAGATGACAGTCTTTGGAGTCTAGACAGTGACAGAGGGCGCTTTAAGGCATTTTTATATAGAAACCCCTGTGGGGCTGGCTGTGGGCTGTCACACTTCTTACTGTCTCTGCTTGTTCCATCCCCTCCTCTGCTTCATTCCCTTGCTTTTTCTCTGCCCCCTTGCCCCGGCCATGGCTCCAGGTTTCTGACGTTCCGATGACTGGCAACCCCGCAGAAGAAGGTGATGTCCCCAGAAGCAGTCCACCTGTGGCTTTTACAGAGGTCCTCCAGGCACCGGCCATCAGGATTCCCCCCTCCTCCCCTCTCTGTGGCCTGGGTGGCTCCCCCAGAGACCAGGCCTCAGGGCCCGATGCGAGCGAGGGGGCCACCGGGCCTTTCCTGGAGCCCAGTCAGCAGCAGGCAGAGGCCACATGGGGAGTATCGAGTGAGAATGGAGGGGGGCTGGAGGCTGTGAGTGGGTCAGAGGAGCTGCTCGGTGAGGACACCATCGACCAGGAGCTGGAGCAGCTCTACCTGTCTCACCTGAGCCGCCTACGGGCTGCTGTGGCTGCGGGTGGGGCAGGGGGTGGTGGGGAGGGCTCCACAGATGGAGGGATGTCCCCCAGCCATCCCCTGGGCATACTGACGGACCGCGACCTGATCTTGAAGTGGCCTGGCCCTGAGCGGGCCCTGAACAGCGCCCTGGCTGAGGAGATCACGCTGCACTATGCCCGGCTGGGGCGTGGCGTGGAGCTCATCAAGGACACCGAAGACCCTGATGATGAAGGGGAGGGTGAAGAGGGGCTCTCTGTCACACCCTCCAGCCCAGAAGGGGACAGCCCCAAGGAATCGCCTCCAGAAATCCTCTCCGGGGCCCGTTCTGTGGTAGCCACGATGGGAGATGTGTGGCTCCCATGGGCAGAGGGCTCAGGATGTGACGGCCCTGTGGTTCTGGGTACAGAGGGTCAGTTCATTGGGGATCCTGAGAAAGGGATGGGCAAGGACACCAGCTCTTTGCACATGAATAGGGTGATAGCTGGGGTGACTGAGTCCCTGGGGGAGGCCGGGACAGAAGCCCAGATAGAGGTCACCAGTGAGTGGGCAGGCAGCTTGGATCCCATATCTGGCAAGGAGCCAGCCTCTCCCGTCCTTCTGCAGGGGCAAAATCCCACCCTCCTCAGTCCCTTGGGGGCCGAAGTCTGTCTCTCTAGTGTAGCCAGGCCTCATGTGAGCTCCCAGGATGAAAAGGATGCAGGCCCAAGCCTTGAACCCCCAAAGAAGTCTCCCACCCTAGCAGTCCCTGCAGAATGTGTGTGTGCACTGCCTCCTCAGCTCCGGGGGCCCTTGACCCAGACTCTGGGGGTCCTGGCCGGGCTAGTGGTGGTCCCTGTGGCTCTGAACAGCGGTGTGTCCCTCCTGGTGCTTGCGCTGTGCCTCTCTCTGGCTTGGTTCTCATAGGCTCTGCTTGTGGGATCAGCAGAGGCTTAAGATGGGATACATGGCCTGTGCAGTGAGGGGACCTGGGTCCTTTGCTTCTGAGAATGCTCAACTGAAAGAGAGGCCTTCTCATCCCCAAGCTCTCCAGTCAACACAGGGCTCCCTGTGGTGACACCAGTGGAGATGAGGGAACGGGTAGATGGTGTGAGTGAGGGGAACTTTTAGAGTGGAACTGGGCATGTCCTCCGCCTACCCCCCGAGCCTGTATTTATTTTTGTATAATTCTCTGGATGAGGGAGAGTGGTCGTGAGCTGGTCTTGGGGCACAATTACCCAGAGATATATTTATTAACAGCCAACCTGTGCAACCTGCTGGAGCTTTATTTTTAATTTAATTTATATAGAGTACCTATTATTATATGCCACAATAGAGCTCTATGAGAAACAGTGTCTTGCGGTGTAGTGTTCTCCTGTTTGGGCATGAGTGTGCAGGGTGGTCACTTTCTGTGGGAGGATCACAGTGGGGAGTTGGGGGTGGGACGTGGTCGCCTGCTGCTGCTTCAACATGTCTTTCCTTGAAGATGTGTGTCTCCTCGTCTCGTGGTCCTAATCCATATGGTTCTTTGTCTTTTCCACATTCTGCCTGTGGGACCCTACAGGTGTGTATTTGGATGGTGGTGGTGGGAGCCAGGGAGGAAGAGTGGCAGCCACATGAGGGTTTGGTGTCAGTCACATGGTTGCAGTGGTAGCTGTGGTCTCCTGTGGATGTGGGGACATCAGTTGTGAATCAGCCACAAGGTTTTGAGGTTACTGAAAAAACAGCCTTTGACACCAGCAGGGAGACCCCTTAGTCCCTGAGATAAGGAAGGCCTCAGAAAGGAAAGAGGAGTTAATGTACTGCAGTACTTGGTAGCACAGTTGCTGTCCACAGACATCACATTTCTACTAAAAACAGGAAGCCCAGAAGCTTTGAAAGAAAGATATATATTTATTGCATGCAAATAAAAAACTGCTCAACAAAATAAAACACCACATATTTATTTACTTCCCTTTACAGCAAAACCTATTGGAAGAAATATCTATACGAGCTTTCTTCAGTTCTTCTATGATGCCTTTCTGAAATAGCCCCAATCAGATCTTTTTTGCCCAACCATTTCAGCAAAACTGCTGAAGATATTCACATTGTTATAGCCATGGTTAAGTCTCAGATGTCATCTTACTTGGGATATTGGCAGCATTTGACATAGTTGATCATCTCTACCTTGCAACCCTTTCTTCACTTGGTTTCCAAGATACCACACTCTCCTCATTTCCCTTCTTCCTCACTGGCCACTGTGCAAAGCTGTCAGTTCTCTTGAAACTGCTTTGTAGGTTCAATGCAAATCCAACCACAATTCCAATAGAGTTTTGCCTGTGTGTAGATCATGACACATTAATTCTTAAATTTATGTAGAAGTGCCAAGACTAGCCAGGACACTGATACTTATTGTAATGGTATATTCAGATGGCACGATATTTTTGCAAGAGTAGACAAATCGACCAATAAAAAAACAGTGATCTCGGAAACAGTGTAGACACACTCGTGTAGACACAGAACTGGTGACCAAGGAAGTGTGTTAGACCAGTGGGGAAATGATTGGATTTTGAATAAATAGAACAATTGGTTACCCGCATTGAAAAATATGAACTTGGATCCCTACTTTACAACACAAATAAAAATAATTCTAAGTGGGTTTAAAGCCTAAATGCGAAGGGCAAAACCAAAGCGCTTTAAGAATACAATGAGGCAGGGCCGGGTGCTGTGGCTCACTCTTGTAATCCCAGCACTTTGGGAGGTCTAGATGGGCGGATCAGGAGTTTGAGACCACCAGCCTGGCCAACATGGTGAAACCCCGTCTCTACTAAAAATACAAAAATTAGCTGGGCATCCACCTGTAGTCCCAGCTGTTTGGGAGGCTGAGGCGGGACAATCGTTTGAACTCAGGGGGCAGAGGTTGCAGTGAGCCGAGATGGCACCACTGCACTCCAGCCTGGGCCACAGATCGAGACTCCATCTCAAAAACAAAACAAAACAAAAAACAAGGCAAAACACCTTCGTATACTCATGGTAGCAAAGTTTTTCTTCATCACGACACAGAAACAACCATAAATGAAAATTACGAAACATTCAGTGACCTTAAAATTAGGAATGTCCATTGATCAAAAGACACCATAAAGAGAGTGAAAACCTTATGTAGTAGGTTGCTATGAATAAAAGCAAAACAAAAAGGAGTGAAAACACAAGTGAAAAATTGGGAGGAGATAATGGAATCACATATAACTGATGAAGGGCTCAAACCTTAGATGCCAATAAGCATCTAAATAAATTGTGGTATATTCGCAGAATGGAATATTGTATAATGAGAATGGAAGATCCATAACTGCACGAAAGCATACAGATGAATCACAAAAAGCCAAAAAAAAGCTTCCACACTGATCCATTTATGCAAAGTTCACAAGCAGGCAAAACTCATGAATTACCACCTAAATGGTGACATTGTAAAGAAAAGCGAGGGGCTGATTACCAGAGTCAGGATAGTGTTCACCTCTGGCAGAGGGAGGGATGTGGCTGAGAAGGGGCCCAGAGGACTTCTGGGATGTCAATAATGGTTCACTGCTTGACCTGGGAGACTGTTCATGGATGTGCAATTTATTCATCATCATTAAAACAGACTTATGGGCTGGGCGCGGTGGCTCACACCTATAATCCCAGCACTTTGGGAGGCTGAGGCAGGCATATCACTTGAGGTCAGGAGTTCGAGACCAGCCTGGCCAATGTGGGGAAACCCCGTCTGTACTAAAAGTATAAAAATTAGCCGGGCGTGGTGGTGGGCGCCTGTAATCCCAGCTACTTGGGAGGCTGAGGCGGGAGAATCACTAGAACCCAGGAGGTGGAGGTTGCAGTGGGCCGAGATCGCACCACTGCACTCTAGTCTGGGCAACAGAGCGAGACTCTTGTCTCAAAAAAACAAAACAACCCCCCCCATACATTTAGGTTTTATACACTCTTATGCAAAGACCTCACAAGTGAAGCAGAGTGCAGTGGGAAGTGGGAGTAGCATGAGTGTCCGAGACTCCTGCACACAGGCTTGCAGAGACTCCAGCCTCCTGGTGTGAACCACAGTGTAGGCGGCCTCCTTCCTGCAGAACAATCCCTGGGCTCCGGGTCTTGCCTTCTGTTTGTGGAGATCGACTAGTGGGGAATCCTCTATCGTGTGCCCCTGACACCAGCCATAGAGTGGGGCCTCTTGGGATGGACAGGACCTGCCCATATTGTCCTCAGATGTTGGGGTCCATCTCCCCTCAGGCCTCATTCACACCCACAATAGCCCAGGACACATGGGCTTTGGGGCCTGGTGGGCCTCATAAAAGCCTGGAACCCCGAGCCCTGGTGGTGTGACCTTGGGCAAGTCACCCGTCCTAGACCAGCCTCAGTTCCCCATTCATAAAGGGGGCTAATGCCCATCAAGCAGGGTAGGTGCAGGCTTTGGGGAAAACGTTGTACTGCCCTCCTCCTGAGCCCATGTTAGACAGGTCTTATAGTCAAGGCAGGGTAGGAGGGTGGACAGGAACAGGGGCTGGAGCGACACAGTTTGGGACTAAATTGCCCAGGGTCACACAGTGGGCAAGTGGCTTCAGCCCTCTGTGCCTCCCTTTGCTCGTCTGTCATCAGGGTAATAACTTTTCCTCCTCACAGGGTTAAGTGAGGAAGAGGTGAGATGACTCTTCAGTCACTGAGCAGTGCCAGGCACAGGGCAAGACTGAGTACACGCCCGTTGTCATTCCCCCTGGCTGGAGCTCTTGCAATCACTGTTATGCCCCCACCCTGCCCTCTCCCATTAATCTGTTAATGTGGTGAATTACATTGATAAGTTTGTACATCTGTCTTTTAAAATTGAGACGCAATCTTGTTCTGTCACCCAAGCTGGAGTGCAGTGGCACAATCACGGCTCACTGCAGCCTCAACCTCCTGGGTTCAAGTGATCCTCCGACCTCAGCCTCCCGAGTAGCTGGGACTACAGGCACATGCCACCATGCCCAGCTAATTTTTATATTTTTACTAGAGACAGGGTTTTGCCATGTTGCCCAGGCTGGTCTCGAGCTCCTCAGCTCAAGCAATCCACCTGCCTCAGCCTCCCAAAGTTTTGGGATTACAGGCATGAGCACGTCCAGCCTACTTTTCTCTCTCTCTCTCTCTCTCTCTCTCTCTCTCTCTCTCTGTCTCTCTCCTTTCTTTCTTGACGGAGTCTCGCTCTTTCTCCCAGGCTGGAGTGAAGTGGCACATTCTCAGCTCACTGTAACCTCTGCCCCCTGGGTTCAAGAGATTCTCCTGCCTCAGCCTTCTGAGTAGCTAGGATTACAGGCATGCACCACCATGCCCGACTAGTTTTTGTGTTTTTAGTAGAGACAGGGTTTCACCATGTTGGCCAGGCTGGTCTCGAACTCCTGACCTCAGGTGATCCACCCGCCTCAGCCTCCCAAAGTGCTAGGATTACAGGTATGAGCCACCACGACTGGCCCTACTTTTCTTTTTTAAAATTTTAGTGGTCAGTTACTAGATAAACTCTATTTTTATCACCCATTTACAGGTGAGGGCCTTCCATGTTCTTATCAGCCCTGAGCTCAGCCCTTTGCCGAGGCCTTCCTGGTCCACCTCTCCCTCCTCCTTGTGACTAGGGCCAGCATCTTAGTCTCACAGTGGCCCCTTCTCTCTCTGTCCTCAGCCTTCAGCCCTGCTATCACCCACCCGCATCCTACAACCCCTCTGCTTCCCCTCTTCAGTGTTTTTTGTCCAGGATGAGACCAAGTCCAAACCTGAGCTTCCTGCTAAGTCAAAGTGACTTTTTCCTTTCAGTCAGGGAAGCCTGACTAAAGCGTCTGGTCCCACGGTGAGGTCTTGGTGTCTCCAACAGCGCAGCCATGGACGGCCACCCTACAGTGATACCTGCCTTTGCCAGCAGGGGGCATCTTATCTCCAAGACAGGGAAAGCCTCAGAGAAGACGGGAACAGTCTTAAACGTTAACTGCTTGTAGGGTCACAGGCCTCAGGGTGCATGAGCTCCAGGCTGGGTGTCCCTTGGAGCCTCCCTCTCTGCATGTGGACAGGTGGGGGCAGCCGAGGGCCTGGCTTTTACTGTTGTTCGGGGTCTTCTACAGATGACTCTCCTCCTCCTCCTCTTCCTCTTTTTCCTTCTACCAGGAACTCATTTCCATCACTAAAGAGAGGTTCTCATATTTTTAATCCTCTTTATCTCACTTAAAGGGTCCATTATAGGATTTTTCCACAAGATGCACTGGCTCTGAGGCCTGTGCCCAGGGCAGGTCAGGCTATAGATTGGCCAGGTTGGCCAGGTTGGCCAGGTTGGCTGAGGGCACCAGCCTGGATCCTGAAGACACTGGAGACAGCCCCAACAGAGCCTGGGGCTCAGGAAAAGGCCACCAACCCCCCAGCCAGATCCTGGCCAGCTGCCAGCTCCGCCTCCACCCAGTCCTCTCCCAGGGCCTGAACGCCGGGTCTAGAAGCTCCAGGCCTGGTGGTCTGGGGGAGACACGGGCCGGGAGGATCCCTCGAAAGAGGAGGCAGGAGACAATCTCTGTATGGCTTGAGGGATGCACAGCTGTGGGGTGAGGCACGCCCCACCTAGCACAGGCCCACTGACACTGCTGTGCAGCTGCAGGCCCAGCTGCTGCCCTCTATGGGGCTCAGTCTCCTCACCTGTGCAATGGGCATCATTACACCCCCAACGTGCAGGGGATGCTCGTGAATGGAGGGGAGCCGAGGCGTTGAGAAAGTAGATTTGGCTCAAGAGGAGGAGGAGCAGGTCAGGGTTGGTGGGGAAGGATGGATGCGGCCACCTCAGGCATGGCCGGGGCTGCCTTCCTCAAAGTGCTCAGGACAGTCAGGTGGGGGAAGTTCTGAGTCTGTGAGCAGAACCGTGGGCTGGGGACCAGGTGAGGTTGTCTCTGTAGTGTTCTGGGGTGGCCAGCCACTGTGCCACTATTCTTTCCTGTTGGTCCTCATCTCTGCCCACGGGGAGCCCCAAGATGCTCCAAGAGCTCACAGTGAGCTCATGTGAGTTACTGTGACCCACATGCAGTCATTACAGCCATGTGTCATCATCACAACAGCCACCAGGTTAACACTTGGATAATTTATCCAAATAACGACTCACCTGATGTGATTTGCATGATATGCCATCATTTATTATTATACTCCTATTGGATGTTTAGGTAGTGTTCGATTTGCTTTTTTGCCACTATAAACTATCTGTGGTGAGCATTGTTTCCCATATATGTAAACTTGGGAGAGACACAGGAATGTTTATATAGTAAAACTATTTGTAATAGCAAAATACTGGAAACAACCCAATTATACATCATCAGGAAATGCATAAGTAAATTATGCTGTATTGACATCATGGAATACTACACAGCTATGAGATGGAGTGAACTAAGGTACACAAAGACACAATGTTAGGTGAAAGAAGCCAGATACAAAAGAGGAGATGATATATGCTTTTCATATATGGCTCAAAACCAAACAAAACTAGTATTTAGGCATACATACACCTGTGTTAAAACAGTTTTACAGAAAACAAGGATTCTGGCCAGTCGCGGTGACTCACGTCTGAAACCCCAGCACTTTGGGAGGCCGAGGTGGGAGGATCACTTGAGTCCAGGAGTTTGAGAGCAGCCTGAGCAACATGGAGAACCCCATCTCTACAAAAAATACAAAAATTAGCTAGGCATGGTGGCATGCGCCCATAGTCCCAGCTACTCAGAGGCGGAGGAGGGAGGATCACTTGAGCCTGGGAGGCAGAGGTTGCAGTGAGCCAAGATCGGGCCACTGCACTCCAGCCTGGGTGAAGGTATGAGACCCTGTCTCAAAACAACAACAACAAACAACCAAACAAGCAAAACCCCACACAAGGATTTTCAACTGCTTGATTGATACCATTTAAAAAATTTATTTAAAAAATTGTCACAGTAGAATTTACTTTGGGGGAGTTTCTATGAATTTTAATATGTGTAGATTCATGTAACCACCACTGTAATTAGTATTCAGAACAGTTCTATTACCCTAAAGAACTCCATTGTGCCTCCCCTTAGAGTCACTCCCTCTCCTCACCCCCTCACCCACGCAACACTCCATCACTACATTTTTTTTTTTTTGAGATAGCGGCTCACTGCAGCCTTGACCTCCTGGGCTCAAGTGATTCTCCCACCTCAGCCTCCCGAGTAGATGGCACTACAGACACATGTGCCACCACACCCAGCTAAATTTTGTATTTTTTGTAGAGATGGGGTTTCGCCGTGTTGCCCAGGGGTCTCGAACTCCGGAGCTCAAGTGATCCGCCAACCTCGGCCTCTCAAAGTGTTGGGAGTACAGGCGTGAGCCACTGCAGCTGGTCAGGCCTTTCAATTACAATGTTGAATAGCAGGAGTAAGAGTGGACATTCTTGCCTCATTTCTGATCTTAGGGAGAAAGCATTTAGTTTTTCTCTATTAAGTATGATCTAAGCCAGGCAGGGTGGCTCACGCCTGTAATCCCAGCACTTTGAGAGGCTGAGGGGGGGTGGATCATGAGGTCAGGAGATCGAGACCATCCTGGCTAACACGGTGAAACCCCGTCTCTACTAAAAATACAAAAAATTAGCCAGGCGTGGTGGCAGGCGCCTGTAGTCCCAGCTACTCGGGAGGCTGAGGCTGAGAATGGTGTGAACTCGGGAGGTGGAGCTTGCAGTGAGCTAAGATCGTGCCACTGCACTCCAGCCTGGGCAACAGAGCGAGAATATGTCTCAAAAAAAAAAAAAAAAAGTATGATCTAAGCTGTAGGTTTTTTTTTTTTTTTGGTGGATGCTTTATATCAGGTTAAGAAAGTTATCTTCTTGTTTGCTAAGAGTTTTTTTTAAGATCATGAATCAATGTTGAATTTTGTCAGAAGCTTTTTCTGCATGACATGATACGATTATGTGGTTCAGTTACTTTCGAATGTCAGTATGGTAGATTGCATTTATTGATTTTTATTTTATTTTATTTTAATTTGTTTTACTTTTTTGAGACAGAGTCTCTCTGTCACCAAGGCCGGAGTGTGGTTGTGCTGTATCAGCTCACTGCAACTGCCTCCTGGGTTCAAGCAATTCTCGTGTCTCAGCCTCCCAAGTAGCTGGGACTATAGGTGTGTGTCACCACACCTGACTAATTTTTGTATTTTTAGTAGAGATGGGGTTTCCCCATGTTGGCCAGGCTCATCTCGAACTCCTGGGCTCAAGCGATCCCCCCACCTCAGCCTCCCAAAGTGCTGGGATTACAGGCATGAGCCACTGCACCCGGTCACATTGATTGATTTTTGAATATTGTGTCAGTTTTGCATCCCCAGGATAAGCCTCACTTGGTCATGGTGTCTTATTTTTGTATATTGGATTTGAATTGGTAATATTATGTTGAGGATTTTTTTTTCATCTATGTTCATGAAGGAAGTTGGGCTGTACTTTTCCCATACTTTCTTTTTTTCTGGTTTTGGTATCAGGGTAATGCTATTTGAGAAGTGTTCCTGTCTTATTTTTTGAAGAGATTTTGTAGAATTGGTATTATTTCTTCTTAGATGTTTGACACAATTTGCCAGTGAAACCATCTGGACCTGGCAACTTTATCTTCTTCTTTTTAAAAAAGACTTTTTTTTTTTTAAAGAGCAGTTTTAGGTTTACAGTAAACCTGAGAGGAAGGTACAGACATATCCCATATACCCCTCACCTCCACACATGCACAGCCTCCCCATTATCAGCAACCCTCACCAGCGTGGTGCATTTGTTACAATTGATCATTATCACCCCAATGATACATGAGGTATCATATTGGCCTGAAATTTTCTTTTTTTGTTGTGTCTCTGCCAGGTTTTGGTATCAGGATGATGCTGGCCTCATAAAATGAGTTAGGAAGGAGTCCCTCTTTTTCTATTGTTTGGAATAGTTTCAGAAGCAATGGTACTAGCTTCTCTTTGTAACTCTGGTAGAATTTGGCTGTGAATCCATCTGGTCCTGGGCTTCTTTTGGTTGGTAGGTTTTTAATTACTGCCTCAATTTCAGAACTTGTTATTGGTCTATTCAGGGATTCGAATGCTTCCTGGTTTAGTCTTGGGAGGGTGTATGTATCCAGGAATTTATCCATTTCTTCTAGATTTTCTAGTTTATTTGTGTAGAGGTATGTATAGTATTCTTTGATGGTAGTTTGTATTTCTGTGGGATCAGTGCTGATATCCCTTTTATTGTTTTTTATTGTGTCTATTTGATTCTTCTCTCTTTTCTTCTTTATTAATCTGGCTAGCAGTCTATCTATTTTGTTAATCTTTTAAAAAAACCAGCTCCTGGATTTGTTGATTTTTTGAAGGGTTTTTCACCTCTCTGTCTCCTTCAGTTCTGCTCTGATCTTAGTTATTTCTTGTCTTTTGCTAGCATTTGAATTTGTTTGCTCTTGCTTCCCTAGTTCTTTTAATTGTGATATTAGGGTGTCGATTTTAGATCTTTCCCGCTTTCTCCTGTGGGCGTTTAGTGCTATAAATTTCCTTCTAAACACTGCTTTAGCTGTGTCCCAGAGATTCTGGTACATTGTGTCTTTGTTCTCATTGGTTTCAAATAACTTTATTTCTGCCTTAATTTCATTATTTACCCAGTAGTCATTCAGGAGTAGGTTGTTCAGTTTCCATGTAGTTGTGTGGTTTTGAGTGAGTTTCTTAATTCTGAGCTCTAATTTGATTGCACTGTTGTCTGAGAGACTGTTTGTTATGATTTCTGTTCTTTTGCATTTGCTGAGGAGTGTTTTACTTCAAATTATGTGGTCAATTTTAGAATAAGTGCGATGTGGTGCTGAGAAGAATGTATATTCTGTTGATGTGGGGTGGAGAGTTCTGTAGATGTCTATTAGGCCCGCTTGGTCCAGAGCTGAGTTCAAGTCCTGGATATCCTTGTTAATTTTCTGTCTCACTGATCTGTCTAATATTGCCAGTGAGGTGTTAAAGTCTCCCACTATTATTGTGTGGGAGTCTAAGTCTCTTTGTAGGTCTCTAAGAACTTGCTTTATTTTTATTTATTTATTTATTTATTTATTTATTTATTTATTTATTTTTTGAGACAGAGTCTCGCTCTGTCACCCAGGCTGGAGTGCAGTGGCGCAATCTCGGCTCACTTCAAGCTCCATCTCCTGGGTTCACGCCATTCTCCTGCCTCAGCCTCCCGAGTAGCTGGGACTACAGGTGCCTGCCACTATGCCTGGCTAATTTTTTTGTATTTTTAGTAGAGACGGGGTTTCACCGTGTTAGCCAGGATGGTCTCGATCTCCAGACCTCGTGATCCGCCCGCCTCGGCCTCTCAAAGTGCGGGGATTACAGGCGTGAGCCACCGCGCCTGGCCAATTTTTTGTATTTTTTAGTAGAGGCAGGGTTTCACCATGTTAGCCAGGATGGTTTCGATCTTCTGACCTTGTGATCTACCCGCCTCGGCCTCCCAAAGTGCTGGGATTAGAGGCATGAGCCAACGCGCCTGACCAAGAACTTGCTTTATAAATCTGGGTGCTCCTGTATTGGGTGCATATATATTTAGGATAGTTACCTCTTCTTGTTGCATTGATCCCTTTACCATTATGTAATGCCCTTCTTTGTCTCTTTTGATCTTTGTCTCTTTTGGTTTAAAGTCTGTTTTATCAGAGACTAGGATTGCAACCCCTGCTTTTTTTTTTTTTTTTTTTTTTTTTGCTTTCCATTTGCTTGGTAAGTATTCCTTCATCCTTTTATTTTTGAGCCTATGTGTGTCTTTGCATGTGAGATGGCTCTCCTGAATATAGCCCACCGATGGGTCTTGACTCTATCCAATTTGCCAGTCTATGTCTTTTAATTGGGGCATTTAGCCCGTTTACATTTAAGGTTAATATTGTTATGTGTGAATTTGATCCTGTCATTATGATGCTAGCTGGTTATTTTGCCCATTCGTTCATGCAGTTTCATAGTGTCAATGGTCTTTACAATTTGGTATGTTTTTGCAGTGGCTGGTACTGGTTTTTCCTTTGCATATTTAGTGCTTCCTTCAGGAGCTCTTGTAAGGCAGGCCTGGTGGCGAGAAAATCTCTCAGCATTTGCTTGTCTGTAAAGGATTTTATTTCTCCTTTGCTTATAAAGCTTAGTTTGGCTGGATATGAAATTCTGGGTTGAAAATTCTTTTCTTTAAGAATGTTGAATATTGGCCCCCACTCTCTTCTGGCTTGTAGGGTTTCTGCAGAGATCCACTCTTAGTCTGATGGGCTTCCCTATGTGGGTAACCCGACCTTTCTCTCTGGCTGCCCTTAACATTTTTTCTTTGATTTCAACCTTGGTGAATCTGATGATTATGTGTCTTGGGGTTGCTCTTCTCAAGAAGTATCTTTGTGCTGTTCTCTGTATTTCCTGAATTTGAATCTTGGCCTGTCTTGCTAGGTTGGGGAAGTTCTACTGGATAATATCCTGAAGGGTGTTATCCAACTTGGTTCCATTCTCCCCGTCACTTTCAGGTACACCAGTCAAATGTAGGTTTGGTCTTTTCACATAGTCCCATATTTCTTGGAGGCTTTGTTCGTTCCTTTTTATTCTAATCTTGTTTTCATGCTTTATTTCATTAAGTTGATCTTCAGTCTCTGATATCCTTTCTTCCGCTTGATCGATTTGGCTATTGATACTTGTGTATACTTCATGAAGTTCTCGTGCTGTGTTTTTCAGCTCTATCTGGTCGTTTATGTTCTTCTCTAAATTAGTTATTCTAGTTAGCAATTTCTCTAACCTTTTTTCAAGGCTCTTAGTTTCCTTGCATTGGGTAAGAACATGCTCCTTTAGCTCGAAGGAGTTTGTTATTACCCACCTTCTGAAGCCTACTTCTGACAGTTCGTCAAACTCATTCTCGGTCCAGTTTTATTTCCTTGCTGGCAAGGAGTTGTGATCCTTTGGAGGAGAAGATGCATTCTGGGTTTTGCAATTTTCAGCCTTTTTGTGCTGGATTTTCCTCATCTTTGTGGATTTATCTCCCTTTGGTCTTTGATGTTGGTGACCTTCAGATGGGGTTTCTGTGTGGATGTCCTTTTTGTTGATGTTGATACTACTCCTTTCTGTTTGTTAGTTTTCCTTCTAACAGTCAGGCCCCTCTGCTGCAGGTCTGCTGGAGTTTGTTGGAGTTCCACTCCAGACCCTGTTTGCCTGGGTATCACCAGCAGAGGCTGCAGAACAGCAAAGATTGCTGCCTTTTCCTTCCTCTGGGAAGCTTCGTCCCAGAGGGGCACCTGCCAGATGCCAGCCGGAGCTCTTGTATATGAGGTATGTGTCAGCCCCTGCTTGAAGGTGTCTCCCAGTCAGGAGGCATGGGGGTCAGGGACCCACTTGAGGAGGCAGTCTATCCCTTAGCAGAGCTTGAGCGCTGTGCTGGGAGATCCGCTGCTCTCTTGAGAGCCAGCAGGCAGGAACATTTAAGTCTGCTGAAGCTGTGCCCACAGCCGCCCCTTCCCCCAGGTGCTCTGTCCCAGAAAGATGGGAGTTTTATCTATAAGCCCCTGCCTGGGGCTGCTGCCTTTCTTTCAGAGATGCCCTTCCCAGAGAGGTGGAATCTAGAGAGGCAGTCTGGCTACAGCGGGTTTGCCAAGCGGCCGTGGGCTCTGCCCAGTTTGAACTTCCCGGAGGCTTTGTTCATAATGTGAGGGGAAAACTGCCTACTCAAGCCTCAGTAATGACAAACGCCCCTCCCCCCACCAAGCTTGAGCATCCCAGGTCAACTTCAGACTGCTGTGCTGGCAGTGAGAATTTCAAGTCAGTGGATCTTAGTTTGCTGGGCTCCGTGGTGGTGGGACCTGCTCAGCTAGACCACATGGCTCCCTGGCTTTAGCCCCCTTTCCAGTGGAGTGAACGGTTCTGTCTTGCTGGCATTCCAGGCACCACTGGGGTATGAAAAACAACTCCTGCAGCAAGCTCCATATCTGCCCAAACGGTTGCCCAGTTTTGTGTTTGAAACCTAGGGCCCTGGTGGCATAGGCACAGGAGGGAATCTCCTGGTCTGTGGGTTGAGAAGACCATGGGAAAAGCATAGTATCTGGGCCTGGATGCACCGTTCATCACAGCACAGTTCCTCATAACTTCCCTTGGCTAGGGGAAGGAGTTCCCCGACCCCTACTGCTTCCCCGGTAAGGCAGTGCCCCACTCTACTTCGGCTTGCCTTCCATGGGCTGCACCCACTGTCTAATGAGTCCCAGTGAGATGAGCCGGGTACCTCAGCTGGAAATGCAGAAATCACCCACCTTCTGCCTTGATCTCACTGGGAGCTGCAGACCAGAGGTATTACTATTTGGCCATCTTGCTATTGCTGCTGTTTTTTTTTTTTTTTTTTTTTTTTTTTTTTAAGACAGAGTCTCACTCTGTCACCCAGGCGGGAGTGCAGTGGTACAACTTCAGCTCACTGCACCCTCTGACTCCCAGGCTCAAGCGATCATCCCATCTCAGCCTCTTGAGTAGCTGGAACTATAGGCACAAGCCACCGTGGCCCGATTAATTTTGTTTTTTTGATATAAGTTTTGTAGAGATGAGGTCTCACTATGTTGCCCAGGATGGGATTCTCTGGCTCTTAATAAATAATTGCTTTTTAAATCTTTCACAAAGGAAACCTTGAGTGAGTGAATAATCAAAAGGTGATAGATTGTTTAGTTTCTATTTTCTGTGGCATGAAGGTCAGTGATGCTCAGGATGGGTGTGAGTAAGATGCTTGTGCTAAGCATGCTCCCTGCCCCACAGTCAGTCTGCATGAGCCACTGTTTCTAATAAGACTGTGGATAGAGTGATATAATCACCTCTAACCATATCAAATGTTACACGTAAGTTTCAGATTTTGAGACATGAGTTGATAAGATTTGAAGTTCAAAGACCATGACTTTAGTACTTCCTGAGTAATCAACTGAAATATGTTTTACATATGTGTTTTCCAAATTGCTGACCATTCATTATAAGTGCTTCTGAATTTAAAGGAGGTACTTGATGTATAGGTAAGAAATTACCTTTAAATTCTGGAGGTCTACCCTCAAAGTGTATACAGAGGTTTAATTGGATGTAAGACACAGGATCACCTTTAGGGTTCTGTTTTTTTGTCTATTTAATAAAACCCAAACTGTAGTATGCTTTACATGCCTTTAGAATCATATAAATAAACTGCTGTTAAGTAATGTTCCCAGTTGTTATGTTTCTGTTACAGGTGAAAAGCAATCACGGAGTTAAAAGAAGACAAGCTGAAATGATGCAGGCTGCTCCTATGTTGGAAATTTGTTCATTAAAATTCTCCCAATAAAGCTTTACAGCCTTCTGCAAAGTAGTCTTGCGCATCTTTTGTGAATTTTATTTCTAGCTTTCTGATGCTGTGAAATATGTATCATTCTTTGAAATTTTATATTCTAACTGTTTCAGCTGGTATGCAGAGACATCATTCCTTTTTTTTTTTTCTTTTTTTCTCTTTCCAGACAGAGTCTCACTCTGTTGCTTAGGCTAGAGTGCAGTGGTGTGATCTCTGCTCACTGCAACCCCCGCCTCCTGGATGCAAGCAATTTCTGCCTCAGCCTCCCGAGTAGCTGGGATTACAGGAGCCCACCACCTACCCAGCCAGATTTTGTATTTTTAGTAGAGACGGGGTTTCGCCATCTTGGCCGGGGTGCTCTTGAACTCCTGACCTCGTGATCCACCCACCTCGGCCTCCCAAAGTGTTGGGATTACAGGCGTGAGCCACCGCGCCCGGGCGAGACATAATTCTTATATATTGATTTTCTATCCAGCAGCCTTGTGAAATATGCTTATGAATTCTAAAAGTTTACTTCTAGATGGTTTTCAGTCTTCAACATACAGAATCATACCATCCTTGAATAAGAACAATTTTGTTTCTGCCATTTTTTTTTTCTTTTTCCTTTTGTATTTTTTGTAGAGACGGGGTTTTGCCATGTTTCCCGGGCTGTTCTTGAACTTTTGAGTGCAAGTGATGCACCCGCCTCACCTCCCACAGTGCTGAGATTACTGACGTGGGCCACCGTGCCGGGCCTGTTGTTGCCATTGTAAAGAGTTTTATTTCCTTTTCTGATTTTATGGCATTGTGCAGACCCACCTGTTAAAATGGTGACAGTCAATATCCTTGTCTTATCCCTGATGAGAAACCGAAAAATTTCAACATTTCACCATCCTATTTACTGTCCTTTTTTTGTAGATGGACTTTATCAGAGTAAGTCATTCCATTCTGTTCCAAATTTGCTGAGAGTATTCATTTGAATATATGTTGAGTTTCATCAGTGCATCTATTTTGTTTATAACAGCATTTTTTTCCCATTCATCTGTTAATGTAGTGAATTAGATTGATAACTTTGTACATTTTTATCTTCTATTTTTAAAAATCGAGACAGGGTCTCATTCTATCACCCAGGCTGGAGTGCAGTGGTGTTATCAGAGCTCACTGCATCCTTGACCTTCTTGGCTCAAGTGATCCTCCCACCTCAGGCTTCTAAGTAGCTGTGACTATAGGTACATGTAACCATTCCCAGCTAATTTTTCTTCTTCTTTTTTTTTTTTTTTGTAGTGATGAGATTTTCTCATGTTGCTTAGGCTGGTCTCGAACACCTGAGCTCAGGCAATCTGCCCAGCTCAGCCTCCAAAAATACTAGTACTACAGGCATGAGTCTTGGCCTGGCCAGTTTTTCTTATACAAGGGTCTTCTCTATGTAAAGACTAAACTTATCTGTATCTTTGTGAGGGTGTGCTAAGGGCATGATGAAATTTATCATTCTATTGATTTAAAGAAAACTATCCTTGACTTTCCAGTGTGTAAGTCCATGAAAGCATAATTATGTTGAAAGCATATATTGTTATGGGTGTTGAGAACCCTGCACTTTCTGCTGCTGTGGGAGCATGTCCTTGGAGGTACCTTTCGTCTGTTTTCTCAACTCCAAACATCTTAGGACCATGGGTTGTGACTGGTAAGGAATGTGTCTTGCGAGTTTCAAGATGGAGTTGATTTTCACATGGTGTCACTCTGGCTCTCCTGTTTCTCTAATACTGGCACTTCTCTTTCTGTGATTCTGATGCTACAAATGATAGATATCGTTTTAGTATTTTCTTATGGGTCCTAGAGATTGTATTCATTTTTCTTTCAGTCTCTTTCTCTGACTTGTTCACATTTAACAATTTCTTTTTGGGGTAGGTTGCTATTTCTGTTTTCGCAGGTGGTTTACCTGTCTTCTCAGGCAGTCACCGTGGTCCTTGTCCCCATGGTGGGGCCGGGGCAAGAGAGGGCCCTGGAGGGGAGGGGGGTTTAGTTGAAGATGGAGTGAGTTTTGAGGGGAGCACTACTTGAGTCCCAGAGGCATAGGAAACAGCAGAGGGAGGTCAGATTCCATTATCCTCAGTGGGGATGGGAATCGAGGGTTGGGGGCGTGGGGCTGGGAACGGCAGCCTTCCCCAACCCGCAGCTGTACATGCTCCTTGGCTCCCGCCTCAGTGCGCATGTCCACTGGGCGTCTTCTGCTCAGCCGCTTTACCCACGTGGAGAACGCCAGGGAGCTGTGAGGGTGTGTGGTCTCGTTCCTGTCGTCTGGAATATTTTTCCTCTACTGAGATTCATCTGGTAGGTCTGCAGGCCAGTCCTCCCGGGGTCTGAAGTGTGAGTGAGGGTGAAGAGCAGGCAGTGTGCTTCGGGTGAGTCCGTTGGGTCCTGCTTCGTGGTCTGTGGCCTCTGAGGGAGAAGGGCCTCGAGGCTTCTGAAAGGGAAGGGGCTCCTGGCCTCTGAAAGAGAAGGGCCTTGAGGTCGTCCTCCTTCTCTCAAAGGCTGTGAGGCCACCATCTGCTTTGTGGTCGTGAAGGGGCCAGGACAAGGAGGAAGGTGGGCCATGGAGGGGAGGCGGTCAGGGGCTCAGGTGAAGAAGGGGCGATTGCTGGGTGTGCTGTCAGAGGGATGGAAGTCCGGAGGTGCCAGGAATACCCGATACAGGGGAGATCCCTGAATGAGGTCCCGGACAGGTGCGAGGAGGGCGATAAAGAAGGGACCTGGCACCTGGGAAGACTGCGGGCTGGTGAGTGCCCCTGAGCTTTGTGGAGTGGGGAGCCCCGAGTGAGAAGCATCGCAAGATCTCACCTCCGCCATGGAAGGTCTGGCAACAGTGGGAAGGACTGGGAGAGGCTGTGCGGTCCAATCAAACTTGATTTGAGAGAAGTGAATGGCTCTAGTAAGTGGGAGTGTGCCCAAAGTAGCAATCACGAGAATTATGATTCACTAATGTTTTCATGTGGAGTCCACTTGTGAAACTAAACCTCATCAGAAATGACCTCTGCCAGTGGGGCGCCATGGCCTGCGCCTGTAGTCCCAGTTACTCGGGACGCTGAGGTGGGAGGATCCCTTGAGCAGGAGGTCGATGCTGCAGTGAGCTGTGATCACGCCGCTGCACTCTGCCAGAGCAACACAGGGAGACTGCGGGACCAAAAGAAATTTAGAAAAAAAATGTCCTCTGCGTTTTGTCACACGCCTTAAGATGATTGCTCTGCCAGCTTGGCCAGCATAAGTGGCTTTGTAGGCACTCAGAAAAGGTACACACATATGCTTAACTCTGGGACTTATTTTGAAAGTATTTTCAAAATTAAAACGACAAGTTAACATTTATCCATGGAGGTGATCGAATATAGCAGCCCTGTGGAGCGCACGTTCCCAATCACGGTTGTCTGTTTTCAGTGTGAAATATGAGTTGGCGAGGAAGATCGACCTATCGGCCTAGACCAAGACGCTACGTAGAGCCCCCTGAAATGATTGGGCCTATGCTGGTGAGTGCTTAAACGTTAATTCGTTGTTTTCTATTAGCAGAAATTAATTTTTGTGACAGTATTGTTGCATTAGTATGGAAATGCTGATAAAGGTCTTTCCTGCTCATAAAAAATGATGATGGCGTCTCATGAAGGAAACATTGATTCTGGAGAATTTTTTTTCCTCTAGTGTTCTTCAGCTTTTGCCCATGACTTCTTTCTCAGGCTTTGTTTGTTAATGACAGATTGTACACATGTATTCCAACACTGAGTATAATAGCCTCCAAAGTCCTCGTGCGTCACTTTTCTCATAGTAACCTTCCTGTGGGTCGAGTAACCTTATTGGGCATAGAGCATAGAGTTGGAGAAATGTCTTTAGGCTTAGTTAGGACCAGAAATAGCTATGTATTCTGTGTATATATGTAAAATTTTGTATCAATAACGAAACTTATTTTTTATTTGCACACCCACACGTATTCCCCAGCCCGAGCAGTTCAGTGATGAAGTGGAACCAGCAACACCTGAAGAAGGGGAACCAGCAACTCAACGTCAGGATCCTGCAGCTGCTCAGGAGGGAGAGGATGAGGGAGCATCTGCAGGTCAAGGTGAGGGAAAGGGAAGAAGAACGTCTGCTGGTGTGTGCGTGTGTGTGTGTTCGTGTGTGTGTGTGTGCACGTGTGTGTGTGTGTGTGTTAGGCATTGTCACATAGGAGGAAGAGGAGGAAAGAAAACAATGGAAAGAATGCCTGAAATTGACTGGAAAAGCGAGGAGGCTATGTAGTTTGCAGCTTAGCTTAGGCAAATCCCTCACTATGATAAAAGTTCTCATCTTTATGAATGAGAAAATGGAGGCGCTGGGATTGTGTTTTATCCAAGAGCCCTTGACTGGTGAATACAAAATTTGTATTTTGTTCCAAGGTTTGTGTCTTCCTACCATCTATGTTGCTGTAAAAACGGAAATGATTTTGCTGAAAATGCTTAAAACTCAAAGGCTTTACTGTAAGGTAGCTTAGTACTGACCCAAGAATAGACCCAGTTCAGAGGAGCAGGAGCAGCTCCAAAAACCGAGTCACTGAATGTCAGCCACTGTTTCCTTTGATTGATGTTTTTATATGGTACATTTGATAAAAGCTGGATAAATGAGGATACTGCCATACAGGTAGCTGGTTTAGTTATTTTCTAAGTGGCTTTTAGGAGGTGATTAAATCCTTTTATGGTTAGAAAAAGCAAAAAAGGAATTATCCTGAGATTAACATTGAGATAGAAATAATTTCTCCTAGATAAAATATTTTCAAACAAAACATTTATGTAACTGAGGTCATGGATTATTCCAGGGATGCACTGTTAAAAATTTCTAGAATCTGACTGACAACAATGCCCATTAATTGCTGTCCTCCCACTCCCTTATTCTCAGTGTGGGACAGTATATTTTCTGTGATTCACAAACAATGTTATATTTGGTGCTTTGTTCTTCACGGGGTTCATTTATGGAATATTACATTTAGGACCTTTGGACCTAAATATAACTTTATTTGAACAAAATGAAGTTTCTATTTACCTCAATAAGTAATGGGTGTCATGACTGTAAGATTTTCCATAGTCCTCAAATCCATTCAGCTAATCGATCCTTCAGAAATTGACATTGTAATTGTAACCGAAATCCTATCCATGTGGTAGACTTGAGATTTCTTAGCTGATGCACACTGCTCTCGGTACTCTATGGCTGAATATAAGCATTATACATGTCCTGTGGTTTATCCTTAGATTGTCATTTAGGAGAAAGGTCTCAAGCTGGGCTGAATGCTGTGCACGCATAGTCCCAGCTACTTGGGAGTCTGAGGTGAGAGGATTGCTTGAGCCCTGGAGTTGAAGCCCAGCCTGGGAAACATAGCAAGACCTTATCACTAATAAATAAATAAACAAACAAACAAACAAACAGATAACTAAAGGTTTCATGGTATAGGAAAACACAGATGCAAAGTTTGTGCCTAGTTGCTGGTAATGTTGCAAACATAACTCCTTAGTGAACTGTACCACTTAAAAATAGTTAAGATGGTAAATTTTAGAATATGTGTATTTTTTACCATAATTAAAAAAAACCTCCTGTCTTCCTAAAGTTCAGTGTAATTGTCATATATTCTTTTAAATTTTTACTGTATCTATTTTCAAGGCATAACATTATGGAAAATTTGCAAGAATAGTACAATGAACTCCTATACTTTTCACCTAGATTCACCAATTGTTAATAGCTTTCGCTTCATAGGTTTCATATCACTTCCCTCTCTTACCCTGCTTCCCACACACTCACACACACACACATACAGATATATGTTTACTGTTATTAATGCTGAATTGTTTCGATAAATTTTCAGGTGTTATGACCCTTTACACCAAGTACTTGAGGGTGTGTACATCATCAGAACAAAGAAAAAGTAATTCCTTGGTCATCACTGCAGAAAAATCAAAATCAGGAAATTTAACAATGAGAAAATGCAGTCATTTATTACACAGTGTATACTCAAATTTCGCCAGTTCTCCAGACAATTTCTTTTTTCCTTTTTTTTTTTTTCCTTTGTTGAGACGGAGTCTCTCTCTGTTGCCCAGGTTGGAGTGCAGTAGTGCAATCTTGGCTCACTGCAACCTACACCTCCCAGGTTGAAGGGATTCTCTTGCCTCAGCCTCCCATGTAGCTAGGACTACAGGGCCTGGCCACCGTGCCTGAGTAATGTTTCCTTTTTTTTGTTTGTTTGTATTTTTAGTAGAGATAGGGTTCGCCCTGTTGTCCAGGCTGGTCTTGAACTTCTGACCTCACCTGATCTGCCCACCTTGGCATCCCAAAATGTTTGGATTACAGTTGTGATGGAACAGGAATTAAAAGAAATTAAAGAATGTGTAAGCAAAAACTCAGTTGTATGTAAGAAAACCCAATTTCCCCTGAGGAAGAGAAAGAGCTGGAGTCCTTTAAAATTAACTGCCTGTTTTTCCTTCTGTGGCTAGTGAGTCTTATCTCTCCCTTTCCGAGGCATTGTGAAGACCCTGTTTCTCTAGTTGTGCAGCTGCAAGGTCACTAGACAGATAATCTCAAGTGGTAAAACATGTTGTTCCTTGAAAAGTAAGAAATAATGTAATGCATGTTTCAATTGAGTAACTGTATTTGTTTCCCACTTCTGTAATATGCTTCCCCTGCACAGATCTCCCCCTGCCCCACGAAATGCTTAAAAGATAGCTTGACTCTTTGTTTGGGGCTCAGTCCTTTGGATGTTAATCTGACTAGGTCGGTGCATCTAAATAATTAAATAATTCCTCCTCAACCCCTCGGTCTCTCTGATTCCTTAATTATCCTGCAGCATTTCTGGTGACCCGGACAGGGATTGGAGATGGCAGATTTACTGTCTCCTTTGTCTGTGGGACTAGAGCCCCACGGCCAGGGGAGACCTGGTATCCAAGGCGTGCCGTAGGGGAGCTTCACCTGGATGGAGACTGGCTCTCCCGGCATCCCAGTGGCCTAGCTGGCTGCACAACGGAACTGGAGACGGGGCTGCAGCATGATACCAGCACTTCAGGTACCACAGTAAGGAGAAAGGGCCCAAGGCAGGAAAGCCCATCCCATAGGGATGAAGGGGAGCTTGATCACCTCCCGGGGACCGACCACTAATCCAACCCAGAGTGGCTGGGGGGCAGCAGGAGTGGCCTGCCAATTTGGATGAACCTCATGTCCCCCTAATAAAGTGAAAGTGGCTCAGTGGTGGAGAAAATGGGCCAATAGAGTGGCAAGTGCAGCAAGGAAGAGCTTGCTGGCAGGGTGCAAGAGTGGCTTGCCAGCCCAACTGGGAGTGTGTGGGTGTGTGTGTGGACCTACCCAGGACATGAGAGAGGCTCGTTTCGTCTGATGAGGAGTCCTGGGGTAGGAGTGGTGTGTAGGTGTGTGAATGTGGGAGCCTAACTAGGCTCACCCAGGACACGGGAGAGGCCCGTTTTGTCCGATGAGGAGTCCTGGGGCAGGGGACATGTGTGAAAGTGTGTGAAAGAGACGGTCTCGGGAGAGGCCAATGCGGGGAGTGACGTGGGGAAGCACAGATCCCTTAGCGTGGGCTGTGTGCTCTGAGGCAAGTGCGGGGGAAATCAGACCTAGGACGTTGTGTACAGCTGATAGGACCAGCTCCATGGCCACAGCAGGCTGTGAGAGGGGAAGGCACGTTCCTGGCTAAGCAGCCTCTGAAACTCCCATAATAGGACCCAGTCTAGTGGACCCGAGAGTGAAAGTGAGAGTGAAAGTGCGCCACAAGGGAGGAAATGGGAGGAAAAGTGTTGAAACCAACTCCTTTGGAGTGCATGATGAAAAAATTTAAAAAAAGATTTAGAGGTGATTATGGGATGAAACTGGATGCTCAAAAGTTAAGGACATACTGTGAATTAGAATAGCCCTCTTTTAGTGTCAGATGGCGGGCCGAAGGCACTACAGAGAAATTGGCCATGTGTTTTAAGGTGGTGACTAGGGTCAGAGGACAGCCAGGGCATTCAGACCTAGTCTTTACATTGATGACTAAATGAATGCAGCCCTGCCTAGCAGTTTATTGTAGAATGCTCGCAGCTCATGCCAAGAGAAACCAGCTGCTCTGACGGCTACAGAGTTAAAGGGAAAGTCACAGAGGCTTGTAACTCCAAAAGTAAAAAGTGAAAAGTAAAAGCCAAAAGTGAAAGTAAAAATCAGCTGCCCTGGCAGCTATGGAAACAAAAGAAAAGTCTGAGGAAGGAGAAAACTGGTTTTGCAAGAACCACAGGAGGGAATAGAGACCCCTCCTCCCTACATTCCAATCTACCCCCCTTTACTAAGGCTAACTGCCCCTAAGGAGTTAAGTTCAAAGAGATACAGGCTCCCAGTCTCACAGAAGGAGAAATCAGAGCTCCAGGAAGTTAAAGTGAAAAGCTAGAAAAGTCAGGTAGGCCGTCTCAGGTCTGGCCATGCCGAAGTTATGCTTACGCCTCTTACGAGGACAAAAGGACCCCCACTAGGACCCAGATGATGCAGTCTGGCTTCAACACCTACGAAGGTGCCGAGAAACACTTCTGCAAAAGCTAAAGGATAGTAAAAGAAAAAGACAACCAATATAAAAAATCTCAGAGGTGCTCCAGGGTGCAGATAAAAGCACCAGCCAGTTTTAAGAAAGACTTTGTGAGGCATTTTGGGTGTACACTCCGTTTAACCCCAAGGCTGCTGAAAATCAGTGCATGGTGAATACAACATTTGTAAGTCAGGGCCAAGGAGATATTAGGCATAAATTGCAGAAGTTAGAAGCTCCGTAGGTGTGAATGCTACTCAGCTTATTAAAGTGGCTACCAAGGTGTACATTAACTGAGATCAGGAGGCAAAGAAGAAAGCTGATCGGAGGCTTAAGAAAGGCTAATTTACTAGCAGCAGCCCTTACAGGAAGAGAAGCTGGCTCTTTGCAAGGAGACATGGACGCGGGTGTGAACGCAGTCATGGAAAAGGCTAGTCTGGACAGGAGTTTGAAAGCCGGCCGAGGCTAGAGAGAGATTAATGTGCACGGTGCAAAAGGAAAGGACACTAGAAGGATAAATGTCAAAAGAGTAAGGAGAATGGTCAATGGCCTAACACCCAAGAGCGGCGTTCGGTTGCTAGTTGTGGTGCTTCCGAGGCAGATCCTGATCTGATCGGCTTAGCGGGGGGCCGAGAATTTAGCAGACTGAGACAGACCGGGCTCCATCCTTTTAGGCCCCGGGGAGCCTATGGTCTCTATGGAAGTAGGGGGCCGATCAATGGATTTTTTTGGTCGATATTGGTGCTGATTTCTCTGTGGTAACCCACCCGATTAGCCCCCCCCCACAAAGAACTGTGCTACTATCGTAGGGGGTACAGGGGCCAAAGAAAAGAGACCCTTTTGCAAATCCAGGAGATGTATTATTAGGGGACAAGAAGTGCAGCATGAGTTTCTATATATGCCAAATTGTCGAGTGCCCTTGTTAGGAAGAGACTTACTCCAGAAACTGCAGGCACAAATTTCCTTTACACCTAAAGGGAATATGACACTGGAGTTTGGAAAGTCTAAGGCAATGGTATTGACTCTAACTGTCACAAAGGCTGAGGAATGGCGGCTCTGTGAACTGTGTGCCAGAAGGCTACCGGAGCCAGACCTACACAATAAGTGGGGAATGCTTTTCAAGGAACCAGGTGTATAGGCTGAGGACAACCCCCCTGGACTTGCTGCAAACAGACCCCTGGTGGTAGTAGAGCTTAACCCTCATGCTGCCCTGGTACGAGTCCGTCAATATCCCTACCCAGAGAGGCAATTGATGGCATAACAAAACATTTAAATCGGCTGTATGAACATAGGATTATAGTGAAATGCAAGTCCTTCTGGAATACTCCTCTGCTGCCTGTGCGCAAGCCAAATGGTGAATACAGGCCAGTTTACAAAGTGTCCAGGGACAAGGCAAAAGTCTGTTTTCGGGAGGTTGGATATCTAGGATTCATGGTATCCCAAGGCCAGCGCAGGCTTGGAAGTGCATGCAAGGAGGCTGTATGTGCATTGCCCACCCCAGTTTCAAGGCAGCAGGTCAAGAAATTTCTGGGTGCAGTGGGATTCTGCCGAATCTGGATTCCAAACTTCTCCCTTACAGCAAGGCCCTTATATGAGGCTACCAAAGGAAAAGAAAGAGAGCCCCTCGTATAGGAAAAGGAACAGCAAAAGGCCTTCAAAGATATAAAGGAAGCTCTCATCCAAGCCCTGGCGCTAGGGTTGCCAGATGTAAAAAGCCCTTCTTTTGATATGTGGATGAACGGAAGGGAATGGCAGCTGGAGTCTTCACTCAGTTGTTGGGCTCTTGACATTGGCCGGTAGCATACTTATCCAAGCGACTGGACTTGGTGGCCTTAGGTTGGCCCCACTGCCTCAGGGCGCTGGCAGCTATGGCAATCCTTATAGAAGATGCCAACAAGCTAGCCCTAGGTCAGAAGACAATAGTCTGGGTGCCACACGCTATAGTCACCTTAATGGAGCAAAGAGGACATCGTTGGCTGTCCAACTCTAGAATGCTAAAGTATCAAGGGCTTCTGTGTGAAAATCCCCAGATAACACTGGAAACTATAAATACGGCCTGTGGAGGACCCTGATTGGAATGATGGTGGGTTGCCTCACTGCTGGCAGGACCTTCCCCACTGTTGCATAAATACGGTGAACGAGCCGGGAAGATCTCAGAGATACCACCTTGGAGAGCCCAGATGTTGAATACTTCACTGATGGTAGCAGTTTCATAACAGATGAGGTGTGATATGCAGGGTATGCAGTAGTGACCCAATACTCGGTGGTTGAGGCTCAAGCCTTACCTTCTGGGACTTCTGCTTAGAAGGCTGAATTAATAGCATTAACCAGAGCACTGTTATTGGCCAAGGGGAAGAAAGTAAACATATGTAATGATTCAAGATATGCTTTTGCAACCCTGCATGCCCATGGGGCAATACACAAAGAGAGAGGACTATTGGCTACTGAAGGAAAAGAAATAAAAAATAAAGAGGAAATTTTGCAATTATTAGAAGCCATATGGGCTCCAGAGAAGGTGGCTGTTATTCATTGCAAAGGACACCAAATCGGGAAGAGCTATGAGGTGCCCAGCAACAGAAAGGCAGACCAAGAGGCTAGGCAGGCAGCAATGAGAAAGGCTTTACCTGAAGAAAGAACTCTAGCAATGCCTCTCCTTATAGAGCCCCCTTTATTGGAGGTAACCAATTACTCTTCAAGGGAAAAAGCTTGGTTTGGTCAGGAAACAGGAAAATATATTAAAAATGGATGGTGGCTGTTCTCTGACGGGAGGCTAGCTGTCCCAGAAACAAAAGCCCCAAGGTTTGTGAAGCAGATCCATCAAGGAACACACATTGGAAGGACGACTAGAAACTTTGATAGGTCGGCATTTCTATGTGCCACGGCTCTCTGCCATCGCCCATGCTGTTTTTGAACAATGTCTATCCTGTGCCCGGAATAATCCAAAACAAGGACCTACTCGACTTCCCGGAATTCAGGAAGCAGGAACTGTTCCTTGTGAGAACCTGCTTGTAGAGTTCACTGAGTTACCTCTAGCAGGAGGTTACTGGTATATGCTAGTGTTTGTTTACACCTTCTCAGGGTAGGCTGAGGCCTTCCCCACCAGAACTGAAAGGGCACGAGAGGTGACAAAGGTGCTACTAAAAGACATCATACCAAGATTTGGGTTGCCTTTAACCCTAGGATCAGACAGTGGTCCTGCATTTGTGGCAGAAGTAGTACAAAAGCTGACTCAACTTTTAAAGATCAAATGGAAACTGCACACAGCCTACTCACCACAGAGTTCAGGGAAGGTGGAACGGATGAACCGGACACTCAAACAGCTACTAAAAAAGTTTAGCCAGGAAACTCACTTACGATGGGATCAGGTCTTGCCCATGGTCCTCCTCCAGGTCAGGTGTACACCTACAAAACAAACTGGGTACTCACCCTATGAAATATTGTTCGGAAGGCCACCCCCAATTATTAATCAAATTAGAGGGGATTTAAAGGAGTTAGGAGAGTTAACCCTTAGGAGACAGATGCAGGCTTTAGGAGTGGGAATGTAGGAGGTGCATAGCTGGGTAAGGGAAAGGATACCTGTAAGTCTAACAGACCCAGTGCATCCACATAAGCCAGAGGACTCTGTCTGGGTTAAAAGGTGGAATCCAACAACCTTGGGGCCCTTATGGGATGGGCCCCATATTGTGATCATGTCTACTTCCACTGCTGTTAAAGTTGCAGGTGTCACACCTTGGATTCACCATAGCCGCCTGAAACCAGTGGCAGCAGTGACTCCCGACGATGACCAGTGGATTAGCCAACAAGACCCAGATTGTCCCACCCGAATGCTCCTACGGCAAAACCCAACCACCGGTAAGAAGGACGACTGCCCTGCTCTGACCACACCAGAGGCTGGTCAGTCTACATATGGCTGAAGCTTGAGGATCCTACAAGCTCTGCTCTAGTCACATCCTGGAAGCTGACTAGTCTATGCATGGCCGAAGCTAAGAGGACCATCTCCGGATAATTAAATGTAAATACAATTTATAAGCCTAGTTATAATTCTGTCAATACTGATTGTTCTGTTGTTATTACTGCAAATGCTGCAAATGTCTATGCTCAGAAGAAGGTTTGCCATGCCCATGTGTAGTGTAAACATGTTTCTATTACGTACACTGATGTTGTTACCATTTCTGCCTATACTAAAAGGGGAGAAATCTTGAGAAGGATGCCCACATTGTGTACACACTACCTGGGTAAAAAATACCATAGTTAAAATTCTACTGTACCATACCTACTATAAATGTACAGGAATCAAGTTAAGAACCTACACATACAACCAGAAACAGTCTGCAATGGTTTAACACAAGAGAGGCTTAGCAGGACCAGCCCTAAACATCTGTATGGAGAACCACAAATCAGATGCCCTGACTGTAACATTCAGTGGTCTACACTAACACAGCTCTAACACTTATATTCAGGAAGGACTGCTCTGCTAAGGAGTATGTCAACCAAACCAAATTGTAAGACAAGGACATGCAATCCTTTAAATTTTACTATCTTAAAGCCAGAGCTACCTTTCTCGTCTACAGGACAGACAGCACTATTACAGGTAAACAGACAAGGAGCAGGCCTTGGAGTTCCACTACTAATTGTCAAAAAGACTAGAAGGACTCAAATGCGTCCAACCCCGCAATTTCGGGTCCGTAAGTCATTCTATAAGCATTTTGTTCAGTCAGTGCCTGAGCTTCCCCCATCAACCAAAAACTTATTTGCCCAATCAGCTGCAAACATAGCTGGCAGCTTATGAATTTCCTCATGCTATGTATGTGGAGGAAATAATATGGGGGACCAGTGGCCATGGGAGGCAAAGGAATTAATGCCACAAGATAACTTCACTTTGCCTAACCCTGCCAGTGAACCAACAGCCTCAGCCAGTGTTTGGTTGTTAAAAACCTCCATAATTGAAAAATACTGTATTGCCCGTTGGGGAAAGGCTTTCACAGAGAGAGTAGGAGAAACAACCTGCCTAGGGCAACAGTATTATGATAAGACTAAAAACAAAACTCTATGGAGAAATGCCCAGAATGACTCCTACTTACCAGATCCAAACCCTTTCTCTCGGTTCTCTACTCTAAGCCACTCTTGGCATCTCTAGAGGCTCCAAATGCTTGGAAAGCACCCTCTGGCCTATATTGGATCTGTGGCACATAGGCATATTGGCAACTGCTGGCTAAATGGACAGGGGCGTGTGTGTTAGGAACAATCAAGCCATCCTTCTTTCTAATTCCTCTAAAGCAAAGGGAACTCTTAGGGTATCCAGTTTATGAGGAAAATAAAAGAAGAACTAGAAGAAGCATATTCACAAAAATAGACACAAATGTCAAAAAGGATGTAGACATAGGAGACTGGAAGGATAATGAATGGCCTCATGAAACAATCACTAAATATTATGGGCCAACTACCTGGGCACAGGATGGGTCATGGGGATATCACACCACAATCTATATGCTCAACTGCGTCATAAGGTTGCAGGCAGTCCTTGAAATTATAACCAATGAAGCATCAAGGGCACTAGATTTATTGGCAATACAAGCAACACAAATGAGAAATGCTATACATCAAAATAGATTGGCTTTAGATTACCTCTTAGCCTCAGAAGGAGGAGTATGTGGAAAATTTAATTTAACCAACTGTTGCCTAGAAATCGATGATAATGGCTGAGCTGTCATGGAAATCACAGCTAGAATGCGCAAGTTGGCCCATGTTCCAGTTCAGACTTGGTCCGGATGGTCCTTGGATTTGTTGTTTGGAGGATAGTTCTCAACCTTTGGAGGATTCAAAACTCTCATTGGTGGGTTTTTGTTTAATCTTGGCATCTGCCTCATCCTCCCTTTTATTTTACCCCTGATTATTAGGAGTATTCAGTCAACTATAAAGGCAATAGTAACCCGACACACTACCTCACAGTTGATGGCATTAACCAAACATCAGCTGCTGCCAGTAGAAGAAGAAGCCCAGCTCCACGAAGAGGTGGCAAATAATGGTGCTTGCTATGAACACCTTTGTTATGAAAAGCACCAAAGGGGGGAAATGAAACAGGAATTAGAAGAAATTAAAGAATGTGTAAGCAAAAACTCAGTTGTTTGTAAGAAAACCCAACTCCCCCTGAGGAAGAGAAAGAGCTGGAGTCCTTTAAAATTAACTGCCTGTTTTTCCTTCTGTGGCTAGTGAGCCTTATCTCCCCCTTTCCCAGGCATTGTGAAGACTGTTTCTCTAGCTGTGCAGCAGTAAGGTCACTAGACAGATAATCTCAAGTCGCAAAACATGTTGTTCCTTGAAAAGTAAGAAATGATGTAATGCATGTTTTAATTGAATAACTGCCTTTGTTTCTTGCTTCTGTAATACGCTTCCCCTGCACAGATCTCACCTGCCCCACGAAATGCTTAAAAGGTAGCTTCACTCTTTGTTTGGGGCTCAGTCCTTTGGATGTAATCCAACTGGGTCGGTGCACCTAAATAATTAAATAATTCCTCCTCAACCCCTTGGTCTCTCTGATTCCTTAATTATCCCGCAGAAGTGAGACCCCACGCCCAACGCAGATAATTTTATTGATAGAATTCCTTTTTCTGATCCGGAGTCAAGTTCAGGATCACATCTTGCATGTGCTTTTCAGGTGTTTTTAGTTTCCTTTAATCTGGAATGTTTCCTTAATTTGTCTTTGTCATTCATGATACAGACATTTTTGAAGAGGATAGACCAGTTGGTTTCCAGAATGTTCTGCAGTTTGGGCTTTTTCATGTCTTTTTTAAAGACCTTTTTTAAACTCAGCATTTATTGCTGGCTAGTCATGCCATATAACAGTCTAAGTGCTAGGAGTGTAAGTGCTGTGAGAGACAGGATTTCAGCCTTGAATCATTTAATATGAGAAGGACAATCAGAGGTAGAATAACAAAGTGCAAAGGAGGCAGCAGAGTTGTCTGAGGGCAGTCTCTGGAAAGGAAGAGGGTAATATTTGGAACACCTTGTTTTCCTGTTTTCTGCTAACAGACTCCTGAAATAATGTTCATGGGATTCTTATCAACATATTTATTATTATACTAGCTAAAGCTTTTATATAATAACACCGAGAGCATGAATATTATTTTCTTATTCATATTTCATGTTTTACTGCTTAAATTGATATGTATTTTTTATTTTTAATGGCCGAAGCCTGAAGCTGATAGCCAGGAACAGGTTCACCCAAAGACTGGGTGTGAGTGTGGAGATGGTCCTGATGGCCAGGAGATGGGCCTGCCAAATCCAGAGGAGGTGAAAAGGCCTGAAGAAGGTAGGGAATCCATTAGGCATGCACATTGTAGGGTGTCTGTTTCCACAGTATCGTATCATAATTATTATTACATTTTTGAGATGGAGTCTTGCTCTGTCCACCAGGCTGGAGTGCAGTGGTGGCATCTCGGCTCATTGGAAATTCCGCCTTCTGGGTTCAAGTGATTCTCCTGTATGAGCCTCTCGCGGAGCTGGGCTTATGGACATACACCAATGTGCCCAGCTAATTTTTGTATTTTTAGTAGAGACAGGGTTTCATTATGTTGCACAGGTTGTTCCCGAACTCCTGACCTCAGGTGATCCACTTAACTTAACCTTTGAAATTGCCAGGATTACATGCGAGAGCCACCATACGCGACCAAGGCATTATATTTTTAATAACACAGGTAACAATACTGCCTCTTTAGTAAGAGAGTTCTTATATGAAGGTTATTTGAAACGTAGTTCAGGCCCCAGCACCCGACTGATAGACTGTCAGATAGGGAAACAAACTGAGTCAAAGCTATGTTGAATTAAAAGTTTTGAGTATAAATCCTTAAACCAGTAGCTCACAATTTTCAGATGCTTTTGTAAAGGTCTGCTTTTAATCAATACATAACACGTTTGTAACACCCATCACTTGGTGTGAAAAATGCTGAAGCACTCATGCGGGTTCTAATACCAGCTCTTACAGCCTTGGCGAGATTCTGAGTGAGTCCTTTCCCTTCTAAACCTATCTTTGGTTCTTATGAAAATAGTGAGTTTAAGTCAGAGATTTTAAAACCATTTTGCATTCCGTTTCTTTCATACTCTGATCCTGTTGCATAGAATGCGTGGGACACAGAGATCATCTGCTTCGCATGGTTTGTTAATCACAAATCATGAAACCCTGGCCCGAGTCATCTGAAAATCTCTGAATTGAGATTTCATTGTCAGTAAGACAGTGAGCGGGCCCTCTGCTTCATCCTAGTTTTTCCGTGTGGAGAGCTGAATACGTAGTGTAAGATCTTGTGAAATTGTGAATTCTCCCTCTTCTTGGTTTGTTTGTTTGTTTGGGACAGAGTCTCAGTGTGTCACCCAGGCTGGAGTGCAGTGATGCAATTTCAGCTCACTGCAACTTCTGGCTCCCAGGCTAAAGCCGTCCTCCCACCTCAGCCTCCCGAGTGGCTGGAACTACATGCACAAGCCACCGTGCCTGACTACATTTTTTTGTTTTCATTTTTGTAGAGATGAGGTCTCACTGTGTTGCCCAGGCAGGGTTTCTCTGGCTTTTAATGAACAATTGCTTCTTTTTTTTCCTTTTATTTATTTATTATACTTTAAGTTTTAGGGTACATGTGCACGTTGTGCAGGTTAGTTACATACGTATACATGTGCCATGCTGGTGCGCTGCACCCACTATCTCATCATCTAGCATTAGGTACATCTCCCAGTGCTATCCCTCCCCCCTCCCCCCACCCGACAACAGTCCCCAGGGTGTGATATTCCCCTTCCTCTGTCCATGTGATCTCATTGTTCAGTTCCCACCTATGAGTGAGAATATGCGGTGTTTGGTTTTTTGTTCTTGCGATAGTTTACTGAGAATGATGATTTCCAGTTTCATCCATGTCCCTACAAAGGACATGAACTCATCATTTTTTAGGGCTGCATAGTATTCCATGGTGTATATGTGTCACATTTTCTTAATCCAGTCTATCGTTGTTGGACATTTGGGTTGGTTCCAAGTCTTTGCTATCGTGAATAATGCCGCAATAAACATACGTGTGCATGTGTCTTTATAGCAGCATGATTTATAGTCCTTTGGGTATATACCCAGTAATGGGATGGCTGGGTCAAATGGTACAATTGCTTCTTAAATCTTTCCCCACGGAAACCTTGAGTGACTGAAATAAATATCAAATGGCGAGAGACCGTTTAGTTCCTATCATCTGTGGCATGTAGGTCAGTGATGCTCAGCATGGGTGTGAGTAAGATGCCTGTGCTATGCATGCTCCCTGCCCCACTGTCAGTCTTCATGAGCCACTATTTCTAATAAGACGGTAGACACACATACGATATAATCATCTCTAATCATATCAAATGTTACATGTAAGTTTCAGCTTTAGAGACATGAATTGATAAGATTTAAAGTTGAAAGACCATGACTCTAGTACTTCCTGAGTAATCAACTGAAGTATGCTTTACACATGTGTTTTCCAAATTGCTGACTGTTAATTGTAAGTGCTTGTGACTTGAAAGGAAGCACTTGATGTTCAGGGGGGAAATTCCTTTTAAATTCTGCAGGTCTACGCTCAAAGTTTATGCAGAGGTTCAATTGCGTGTAAGACACGGGATCACCCATAGGGTTCTGTTTTTAGTCCATTTAATAAAACCCAAACTGTAGTGTGCTTTGTATGCCTTTAGGGTCATCTGAATAATCTGTTGCTAAGTCATGTTCCCAATCGTTGTGTTTCTGTTACAGGTGAAAAGCAATCACAGTGTTAAAAGAAGACACGTTGAAATGATGCAGGCTGCTCCTATGTTGGAAATTTGTTCATTAAAATTCTCCCAATAAAGCTTTACAGCCTTCTGCAAAGAAGTCTTGCGCATCTTTTGTGAAGTTTATTTCTAGCTTTTTGATGCTGTGAAATATGTATCATTCTTTGAAATCGTGTATTGTAACTCTCTGAGCTGGTATGTAGAGACATCGTTCTTTTTTTTTTCTTTCTTTCTTTGTCCTCTTTTGAGACGGAGTCTTGCTCTGTCGCCCAGGCTGGAGTGCAGTGGCGCGATCTCTGCTCACTGCAACCCCGCCTCCCGGATTCAAGCAATTGTCTGCCTCAGCCTCCCGAGTAGCTGGGATTATAGGCACCCACCAGCACGCCTGGCTAAGTTTTGTGTTTTTACTAGAGATGGGCTTTCGCCATCTTGGCCGGGGTGCTCTTGAACTCCTGACCTCGTGATTCACCTGCCTTGGCCTCCCAAAGTGCTGGGATTACAGGCATGAGCCTCCGCGCCCGGTGGAGACATAATTCTTACATATTGGTTTTCTATCCAGCGGCCTTGTGAAATATGCTTGTGAATTCTAAAGTTTACTTCTAGGTCGTTTTCAGTCTTCAATATACAGAAACATATCATCCTGGAATAAGAGCAGTTTTGTTTCCGCCATTTTTTTTTCTTTTCCCTTTTGTATTTTTTTGTAGAGACGGGGTTTTGCCATGTTTCCCGGGCTGTTGTTGAACTTTTGAGTGCAAGTGATGCACCCACGTCATCTCCCACAGTGCTGGGATTACTGGCGTGGGCCACCGTGGCGGGCCCGTCGTTGCCATTGTAAAGAGTTTTATTTCCTTTTCTGATTTTATGGCATTGCGCAGACCCACCCGTTACAATGGTGACAGTGGACATCCTTGTCTTATCCCTGATGAGAAACCGAAAAATTTCAACATTTCACCATCCTATTCACTCTCCTTTTTTTGTAGATGGACTTTATCAGAGTGAGTCATTCCATTCTGTTCCAAATTTGCTGAGAGTATTCATTTGAATATATGTTGATTTTCATCAAACAGTGCATCTATTTCGATTACCACAGCGTTTTTTCCCATTCATGTGTTAATATAGTGAATTCGATTGATAAATTTGTACGTTTTTAGGTTCGATTATTAAAACTTGAGACAGCGTCTCACTCTGTCACCGAGGCTGGAGTGCAGTGGTGTTATCAGAGCTCGCTGCAGCCTTGACCTCCTGGGCTCAGGCGCTCCTCCCACCTCAGCCTCCTGAGTAGCTGTGAGTATAGGTACATGCCACCATGCCCAGCTAATTTTTCGATGGTTTTTTGTTTGTTTTTTGTAGTGATGAGATTTTCTGATGTTGCTTAGGCTGGTCTCGAAGTCCTGAGCTCAGGTGATCTGGCCAGCTCAGCCTCCCAAAATACTAGGATTACAGGCGTGAGCCTTGGCCTGGTCTGGTTTTTCTTATATAGGGGTCTTATCTATATAAAGACTAAAGTTAATCTGTGCCTTTGTGCGGGTGGGCTAAGAGCATGATGACTTTTATCATTCTATTGATTTAAAGAAAACTATCCTTGACTTACCAGTGTGTAAGGCCATGAAAGCATAATTCTGTTGAAAGCATATATTGTTAATGGGTGTTGGGAACCGTGCACTTTCCGCTGCTGTGGGAGCATGTCCTTGGAGGTACCTTTCATCTGTTTTCTCAACTCCAAACATCTTAGGACCATGGGTTGTGACTGGTAGGACTATGTATCTTGCTGCTTTCAAGACGGAGTATATTTTCACGTGGTTTCACTCTGGCTGTCCTGTTTCCCTAATACTGTCACTTCACCCTCTGTGATTCTGATGCTACAAATGATAGATATCGTTTTAGCATTTTCTTACGGGTCCTAGCGATTCTATTCATTTTTCTTTCAGTCTCTTTCTCTGACTTGTTCACAATGAACAATTTCCTTTTGGGATAGGTTGCTATTTCTGTTTTCGCAGGTGGTTTACCTGTCTTCCCAGCCAGTCACAGTGGTCCTTGTCCCCATGGTGGGTCCGGGGCAAGAGAGGGCCCTGGGTTGGGGGTGGGGTTCAGTTGAAGATGGGGTGAGTTTTGAGGGGAGCACTACTTGAGTCCCAGAGGCATAGGAAACAGCAGAGGGAGGTGGGATTCCCTTATCCTCAATGAGGATGGGCATGGAGGGTTTGGGGCGTGGCGCTGGGAACGGCAGCCCTCCCCAGCCCACAGCCGCGCATGCTCCCTGGGCTCCCGCCTCAGTGCGCATGTTCACTGGGCGTCTTCTGCCCGGCCCCTTCGCCCACGTGAAGAACGCCAGGGAGCTGTGAGGCAGTGCTGTGTGGTTCCTGCCGTCCGGACTCTTTTTCCTCTACTGAGATTCATCTGGTAGGTCTGCAGGCCAGTCATCCCGGGGGCTGAAGTGTGAGTGAGGGTGGAGAGGGCCTTGGGTGGGTCAGGCGGGTCCCGCTTCCTGGTCTGTGGCCTCCGAGGGAGAAGGGCCACGAGGTCGTCCTCCTTCCCTTCACAGGCTGCGAGGCCACCGGCGGCTTCGTGGTCGTGAAGGGGCCTGGACGGGGAGGAAGGTGGGCCGTGGAGGGGAGGCGGTCAGGGGCTCAGGTGAAGATGGGGTGAGTGCTGTTGGGGGGATGGAAGTCCCGAGGTGCCGGGAACCCCCGACGACACAGGGCAGATTCCCTGAATGGGGCCTCCGGCGGGGGCGAGGCGGGCGGTGAAGAAGGGGCCTGGCACCTGGGAAGGCTGCGGCCTGGTGAGCGCCCCCCCCAGCGGTGTGGAGTGCGGAGCGCCTGAGTGAGAAGCACTGCAAGGTCTCACCTCCGCCATGGAAGGTCCGAAAACAGTGGGAAGGAGTGGGCGAGGCAGTGCGGTCCAACCAAACTTGTTGTGAGGGGGGGTGAATGGCTCTAGGAAGTGGGAGTGTGCCCAAAGCAGCAATCACGAGAATTGTGATTCACTAGGGTTTTCGTGGGGAGTGCACTTGTGAAACTAAACCTCATCAGAAATGACCTCTGTCTGCGGGGCGCAGTGGCGCTCGCCTACGTAGTCCCAGTTACTCGGGACACTGAGGTGGGAGGATCCCTTGAGCGGGAGGTCGAGGCTGCAGTGAGCTGTGATCACGCCGCTGCACTCCAGCCTGAGCAACACAGCGAGACCGCGTGTCCAAAAGAAATTTAGAAAAAAATGTCCTCTGCCTTTTGCCACATGCCTTAAGATGATTGCTCTGCCAGCCTGGCCAGCAGAAGTGGCTTTGTAGGCACTCAGACAGCGTACACACGTATGCTTAACTCTGGGACTTATCTTGAGAGTATTTTCAAAAGTAAAACGGCAAGTTTACATTTATCCATGGAAGTGATCGAATATAGCAGCCCTGTGGAGCGCACGTTCCCAATCACGGTTGTCTGTTTTCAGTGTGAAATATGAGTTGGCGAGGAAGATCGACCTATTATTGGCCTAGACCAAGACCCTATGTACAGCCTCCTGAAATGATTGGGCCTATGCGGGTGAGTGCTTGAACGTTAATTCGATGTTTTCTATTAGTAGAAATTAATTTTTGTGATAGCGTTGTTGCATTAGTGTGGAAATGCTGATAAAGGTCTTTCCTGCTCATAAAAAATGATGATGGCATCTCATGAAGGAAACATTGATTCTGGAGGATTTTTTTTTTCCTCTCGTGTTCTTCAGCTTTTGCCCATGACTTCTTTCTCCGGCTTTGTTTGTTAATGACAGATTGTACACATGTATTCCAACACAGAGTACAATAGCCTCCAAAGTCCTCGTGCGTCACTTTTCTCACAGTAACCTCCCTGTGGGTGGAGTAACCTTATTGGGCATAGAGCATAGAGTTGGAGAAATGTCTTTAGGCTTAGTTAGGACCAGAAATAGCTATGTATTCTGTGTATATATGTAAAATTTTGTATCAATAACGAAACTTATTTTTTATTTGCACACCCACACGTATTCCCCAGCCCGAGCAGTTCAGTGATGAAGTGGAACCAGCAACACCTGAAGAAGGGGAACCAGCAACTCAACGTCAGGATCCTGCAGCTGCTCAGGAGGGAGAGGATGAGGGAGCATCTGCAGGTCAAGGTGAGGGAAAGGGAAGAAGAACGTCTGCTGGTGTGTGCGTGTGTGTGTGTTCGTGTGTGTGTGTGCATGTGTGTGTGTGTGTGTGTGTGTGTGTGTTAGGCATTGTCACATAGGAGGAAGAGGAGGAAAGAAAACAATGGAAAGAATGCCTGAAATTGACTGGAAAAGCGAGGAGGCTATGTAGTTTGCAGCTTAGCTTAGGCAAATCCCTCACTATGATAAAAGTTCTCGACTTTATGAATGAGAGAATGGAGGTGCCAGGATTGTGTGTTATCCAAGAACCCTTGACTGGTGAATACAACATTTGTATTGTGTTCCAAGGTTTGTGTCTTCCTATCATGTGTGTTGCTGTAAAGAAGGAAGTGATTTTGCTGAAAATGCTTAAAACTCAAAAGGCTTTACTGTAAGGTAGCTTAGTACTGACCCAAGAATAGACCCAGTTCAGAGGAGCAGGAGCAGCTCCAAAAACCGAGTCGCTGAATGTTGGCCCCCGTTTCCTTTGATTGATATTTTTATATGGTACGTTTGATAAAAGCTGGATAAATGAGGATACTGCCATACAGGTAGCTGGTTTAGTGATTTTTCTCAGCGGCTTTTAGGAGGTGATTAAATCCTTTTATGGTTAGAAAAGCAAAAACGGAATTATCCTGAGATTAACGTGAGATGGAAATAATTTCTCCGAGATAAAATGTTTTGAAAGGAAGCGTTTATGTAATGGAGGTCATGGATTATTCCAGGGATGCACTGTTAAAAGTTCCTAGAATCTGACTGACAACAATGCCCATTAATTGCTGTCCACCCACTCCCTTATTCTCAGTGCGGGACAGTATATTTTCTGTGATTCACAAACAATGTTATATTTGGTGCTTTGTTCTTCACGGGGTTCATTTATGGAATATTACCTTTAGGACCTTCGGACCTAAATATAACTTTATTTGAACAAAGTGAAGTTTCTCTTTACCCCAATAGGTAATGGGTGTCGTGACTGTAAGATTTTCCATAGTCCTCAAATCCGTCCAGCTAATCAATCCTTCAGAAACTGACATTGTAATTGTAACTGAAATCCTACCCACGTGGTAGACTTCAGATTTCTCAGCTGACGCACACTGCTGTTGGTACTCTAGGGCTGAATATAAGCATTATACATGTCCTGTGGTTTATCCTTAGATTGTCATTTAGGAGAAAGGTCTAAAGCTGGGCTGAATGCCATGCACTCATAGTCCCAGCTACTTGGGAGGCCGAGGTGAGAGGATTGCTTGAGTCCTGGAGTTCAAGCCCAGCCTGGGAAACACAGTGAGACCTCATCGCTAATAAATACATAAATGAATAAATAAATAAATACATAAATAAATTCATTAAATAAGTAAAGTTTTCATGGTATAGGAAAACACAGATGCAAAGTTTTTGTGCCTAGTGGCTGGTAATGTTGCAAACGTAACTCCTTAGTGAACTGTACCACTTAAAAATAGTTAAGATGGTAAATTTTAGGATATCTGTATTTTTTACCACAATTGGAAATTCCTTTCTTCCTAAAGTTCAGTGCAGTTATCATATATTCTTTTAAATTTTTACTGTATGTATCTTCAAGACATAGCATTCATAGAAAATTTGCAAGAATAGTACAATGAACTCATATACTGTTCATCTGGATTCACCAATTGTTAATAGCTTTCGCTTCATCAGTTTCACATCTCTTCCCTCCGTCTCTTACCGTGCTGCCCACACACTCACACACACACACACACACATACATACTGTTATTAATGCTGAATTGTCTCGATAAAGTTTCAGGTATTATGGTCCTTTACCCTATGTACTTGAGGGTGTGTATATCGTCAGAACAAAGAGAAAGTCATTTCTTGGATCATCACTGCACAAAGATGAAAATCAGGAAATTTAACAATGAGAAAATGGAGTCATTTAATACAGAGTGCATACTCAAATTTTGCCAGTTCCCCAGAAAATTTCTTTTTTCCTTTTTTTTTTTCTTTGTGTGAAGACGGAGTCTCTCTCTGTGGGCCAGGTTGGAGTGCAGTAGTGCGATCTCGGCTCACTGCAACCCACACCTCCCAGGTTCTAGGGATTCTCATGCCTCAGCCTCCCGTGTAGCTGGGACTACAGGCGCCGGCCACTGCGGGCTTGAACTTCTGGCCTCACCTGCTCTGCCCACCTTGGCATCCCAAAATGTTTGGATTGCAGGCGTGAGACCCCACGCCCGGCCCAGATAATTTTATTGATAGGATTTCTTTTTCTGATCCAGAGTCCAGTTCAGAATCACACCTTGCATGTGCTTTTCAGGTGTTTTTAGTTTCCTTTAACCTGTAATGTTTCCTTAATTTTTCTTGTCATTCACGATACGGACATTTTTGGAGAGGATAGACCAGTTGGTTTGCAGAATATTCTGCAGTTTGGGCTTTTTCATGTATTTTTAAAAGAGTTTTCTCACTCAGCGTTTATTGGTGGCTACTCATGCCATGTAAGAGTCTAAGCGCTAGGAGTGTAAGTGCTGTGAGAGACGGGATTTGAGCCTTGAGTCATTTAATACGAGAAGGACAATCAGAAGTAGAATAAGAGAGAAGTGCAAAGGAGGCAGCAAAGTTGTCTGAGGGCAGTCTTCGGAAAGGAAGAGGGTAATATTTGGAACACCTTGTTTTCCTGTTTTCTGCTAACGGACTCCTGAAATAATGTTCCTGGGATTCTTATCAACACATTTATTATTATGTTAGCTAAAGCTTTTATATAATAATACCGAGAGCGTGAATATTATTTTCTTATTCATGCGTTATGTTTTACTGCTTAAATTGATACGTATTTTTTATTTTTAAGGGCCGAAGCCTGAAGCTGATAGCCAGGAACAGGGTCACCCACAGACTGGGTGTGAGTGTGAAGATGGTCCTGATGGGCAGGAGATGGACCCGCCAAATCCAGAGGAGGTGAAAACGCCTGAAGAAGGTAGGCAATCCATTAGGCATGCACATTGTAGGGTGTCTGTTTCCACAGTATCATATTGTAAGTCTTACTATGTTTTTGAGACGGAGTCTCGCTCTGAAGACCAGGCTGGAGTGCAGTGGTGCCATCTCGGCTCACTGGAAATTCTGTCTCCAGGGTTCAAGTGATTCTCCTGCCTGAGCCTCTGGCGGAGCCGGGCTTACAGGCGGGCTCCGCCGCGCCCAGCTAATTGTTGTATTTTTAGTAGAGACAGGGTTTCGTTATGTTGCACAGGTTGTTCCCAAACTCCTGACCTCAGGTGATCCACCTGCCTCGACCATTGAAATTGCCGGGATTACAGGCGAGAGCCACCGTGCCCGACCCAGCATTATATTTTTAATAACAGAGAGGTAACAATACTGCGTCTTTAGTAACAGACTTCTTATATAAAGGTTATTTGAAACGTAGTTCAGGCCCCAGCACCCGACTGATAGACTGTCAGATAGGGAAACAAACTGAGTCAAAGCTATGTTGAATTAAAAGTTTTGAGTATAAATCCTTAAACCAGTAGCTCACAATTTTCAGATGCTTTTGTAAAGGTCTGCTTTTAATCAATACATAACACGTTTGTAACACCCATCACTTGGTGTGAAAAATGCTGAAGCACTCATGCGGGTTCTAATACCAGCTCTTACAGCCTTGGCGAGATTCTGAGTGAGTCCTTTCCCTTCTAAACCTATCTTTGGTTCTTATGAAAATAGTGAGTTTAAGTCAGAGACTTTAAAACCATTTTGCATTCCGTTTCTTTCATACTCTGATCCTGTTGCATAGAATGCGTGGGACACAGAGATCATCTGCTTCGCATGGTTTGTTAATCACAAATCATGAAACCCTGGCCCGAGTCATCTGAAAATCTCTGAATTGAGATTTCATTGTCAGTAAGACAGTGAGCGGGCCCTCTGCTTCATCCTAGTTTTTCCGTGTGGAGAGCTGAATACGTAGTATAAGATCTTGTGAAATTGTGAATTCTCCCTCTTCTTGGTTTGTTTGTTTGTTTGCGACAGAGTCTCAGTGTGTCACCCAGGCTGGAGTGCAGTGATGCAATTTCAGCTCACTGCAACTTCTGGCTCCCAGGCTAAAGCCGTCCTCCCACCTCAGCCTCCCGAGTGGCTGGAACTACATGCACAAGCCACCGTGCCTGACTACATTTTTTTGTTTTCATTTTTGTAGAGATGAGGTCTCACTGTGTTGCCCAGGCAGGGTTTCTCTGGCTTTTAATGAACAATTGCTTCTTTTTTTTCTTTTATTTATTTATTTATTTATTTATTGTTATACTTTAAGTTTTAGGGTACATGTGCACGTTGTGCAGGTTAGTTACATATGTATACATGTGCCATGCTGTTGCACTGCACCCACTATCTCATCATCTAGCATTAGGTACATCTCCCAGTGCTATCCCTCCCCCCTCCCCCCACCCGACAACAGTCCCCAGGGTGTGATATTCCCCTTCCTCTGTCCATGTGATCTCATTGTTCAGTTCCCACCTATGAGTGAGAATATGCGGTGTTTGGTTTTTTGTTCTTGCGATAGTTTACTGAGAATGATGATTTCCAGTTTCATCCATGTCCCTGCAAAGGACATGAACTCATCATTTTTTAGGGCTGCATAGTATTCCATGGTGTATATGTGCCACATTTTCTTAATCCAGTCTATCGTTGTTGGACATTTGGGTTGGTTCCAAGTCTTTGCTATCGTGAATAATGCCGCAATAAACATACGTGTGCATGTGTCTTTATAGCAGCATGATTTATAGTCCTTTGGGTATATACCCAGTAATGGGATGGCTGGGTCAAATGGTACAATTGCTTCTTAAATCTTTCCCCACGGAAACCTTGAGTGACTGAAATAAATATCAAATGGCGAGAGACCGTTTAGTTCCTATCATCTGTGGCATGTAGGTCAGTGATGCTCAGCATGGGTGTGAGTAAGATGCCTGTGCTATGCATGCTCCCTGCCCCACTGTCAGTCTTCATGAGCCACTATTTCTAATAAGACTGTAGACACGCATACGATATAATCATCTCTAATCATATCAAATGTTACATGTAAGTTTCAGCTTTAGAGACATGAATTGATAAGATTTAAAGTTGAAAGACCATGACTCTAGTACTTCCTGAGTAATCAACTGAAGTATGCTTTACACATGTGTTTTCCAAATTGCTGACTGTTAATTGTAAGTGCTTGTGACTTGAAAGGAAGCACTTGATGTTCAGGGGGGGAAATTCCTTTTAAATTCTGCAGGTCTACGCTCAAAGTTTATGCAGAGGTTCAATTGCGTGTAAGACACGGGATCACCCATAGGGTTCTGTTTTTAGTCCATTTAATAAAACCCAAACTGTAGTGTGCTTTGTATGCCTTTAGGGTCATCTGAATAATCTGTTGCTAAGTCATGTTCCCAATCGTTGTGTTTCTGTTACAGGTGAAAAGCAATCACAGTGTTAAAAGAAGACACGTTGAAATGATGCAGGCTGCTCCTATGTTGGAAATTTGTTCATTAAAATTCTCCCAATAAAGCTTTACAGCCTTCTGCAAAGAAGTCTTGCGCATCTTTTGTGAAGTTTATTTCTAGCTTTTTGATGCTGTGAAATATGTATCATTCTTTGAAATCGTGTATTGTAACTCTCTGAGCTGGTATGTAGAGACATCGTTCTTTTTTTTTTTCTTTCTTTCTTTGTTCTCTTTTGAGACGGAGTCTTGCTCTGTCGCCCAGGCTGGAGTGCAGTGGCGCGATCTCTGCTCACTGCAACCCCGCCTCCCGGATTCAAGCAATTGTCTGCCTCAGCCTCCCGAGTAGCTGGGATTATAGGCACCCACCAGCACGCCTGGCTAAGTTTTGTGTTTTTACTAGAGATGGGCTTTCGCCATCTTGGCCGGGGTGCTCTTGAACTCCTGACCTCGTGATTCACCTGCCTTGGCCTCCCAAAGTGCTGGGATTACAGGCATGAGCCTCCGCGCCCGGTGGAGACATAATTCTTACATATTGGTTTTCTATCCAGCGGCCTTGTGAAATATGCTTGTGAATTCTAAAGTTTACTTCTAGGTCGTTTTCAGTCTTCAATATACAGAAACATATCATCCTGGAATAAGAGCAGTTTTGTTTCCGCCATTTTTTTTTCTTTTCCCTTTTGTATTTTTTTGTAGAGACGGGGTTTTGCCATGTTTCCCGGGCTGTTGTTGAACTTTTGAGTGCAAGTGATGCACCCACGTCACCTCCCACAGTGCTGGGATTACTGGCGTGGGCCACCGTGGCGGGCCCGTCGTTGCCATTGTAAAGAGTTTTATTTCCTTTTCTGATTTTATGGCATTGCGCAGACCCACCCGTTACAATGGTGACAGTGGACATCCTTGTCTTATCCCTGATGAGAAACCGAAAAATTTCAACATTTCGCCATCCTATTCACTCTCCTTTTTTTGTAGACGGACTTTATCAGAGTGAGTCATTCCATTCTGTTCCAAATTTGCTGAGAGTATTCATTTGAATATATGTTGATTTTCATCAAACAGTGCATCTATTTCGATTACCACAGCGTTTTTTCCCATTCATGTGTTAATATAGTGAATTCGATTGATAAATTTGTACGTTTTTAGGTTCGATTATTAAAACTTGAGACAGCGTCTCACTCTGTCACCGAGGCTGGAGTGCGGTGGTGTTATCAGAGCTCGCTGCAGCCTTGACCTCCTGGGCTCAAGCGCTCCTCCCACCTCAGCCTCCTGAGTAGCTGTGAGTATAGGTACATGCCACCATGCCCAGCTAATTTTTCGATGGTTTTTTTGTTTGTTTTTTGTAGTGATGAGATTTTCTGATGTTGCTTAGGCTGGTCTCGAAGTCCTGAGCTCAGGTGATCTGGCCAGCTCAGCCTCCCAAAATACTAGGATTACAGGCGTGAGCCTTGGCCTGGTCTGGTTTTTCTTATATAGGGGTCTTATCTATATAAAGACTAAAGTTAATCTGTGCCTTTGTGCGGGTGGGCTAAGAGCATGATGACTTTTATCATTCTATTGATTTAAAGAAAACTGTCCTTGACTTACCAGTGTGTAAGTCCATGAAAGCATAATTCTGTTGAAAGCATATATTGTTAATGGGTGTTGGGAACCGTGCACTTTCCGCTGCTGTGGGAGCATGTCCTTGGAGGTACCTTTCATCTGTTTTCTCAACTCCAAACATCTTAGGACCATGGGTTGTGACTGGTAGGACTATGTATCTTGCTGCTTTCAAGACGGAGTATATTTTCACGTGGTGTCACTCTGGCTGTCCTGTTTCCCTAATACTGTCACTTCACCCTCTGCGATTCTGATGCTACAAATGATAGATATCGTTTTAGCATTTTCTTACGGGTCCTAGCGATTCTATTCATTTTTCTTTCAGTCTCTTTCTCTGACTTGTTCACATTGAACAATTTCCTTTTGGGATAGGTTGCTATTTCTGTTTTCGCAGGTGGTTTACCTGTCTTCCCAGCCAGTCACAGTGGTCCTTGTCCCCATGGTGGGTCCGGGGCAAGAGAGGGCCCTGGGTTGGGGGTGGGGTTCAGTTGAAGATGGGGTGAGTTTTGAGGGGAGCACTACTTGAGTCCCAGAGGCATAGGAAACAGCAGAGGGAGGTGGGATTCCCTTATCCTCAATGAGGATGGGCATGGAGGGTTTGGGGCGTGGCGCTGGGAACGGCAGCCCTCCCCAGCCCACAGCCGCGCATGCTCCCTGGGCTCCCGCCTCAGTGCGCATGTTCACTGGGCGCCTTCTGCCCGGCCCCTTCGCCCACGTGAAGAACGCCAGGGAGCTGTGAGGCAGTGCTGTGTGGTTCCTGCCGTCCGGACTCTTTTTCCTCTACTGAGATTCATCTGGTAGGTGTGCAGGCCAGTCATCCCGGGGGCTGAAGTGTGAGTGAGGGTGGAGAGGGCCTCGGGTGGGTCAGGCGGGTCCCGCTTCCTGGTCTGTGGCCTCCGAGGGAGAAGGGCCACGAGGTCGTCCTCCTTCCCTTCACAGGCTGCGAGGCCACCAGCGGCTTCGTGGTTGTGAAGGGGCCTGGACGGGGAGGAAGGTGGGCCGTGGAGGGGAGGCGGTCAGGGGCTCAGGTGAAGACGGGGTGAGTGCTGTTGGGGGGATGGAAGTCCCGAGGTGCCGGGAACCCCCGACGACACAGGGCAGATTCCCTGAATGGGGTCCCCGGCGGGGGCGAGGCGGGCGGTGAAGAAGGGGCCTGGCACCTGGGAAGGCTGCGGCCTGGTGAGCGCCCCCGCAGCGGTGTGGAGTGCGGAGCGCCCGAGTGAGAAGCACTGCAAGGTCTCACCTCCGCCATGGAAGGTCCGAAAACAGTGGGAAGGAGTGGGCGAGGCAGTGCGGTCCAACCAAACTTGTTGTGAGGGGGGGTGAATGGCTCTAGGAAGTGGGAGTGTGCCCAAAGCAGCAATCACGAGAATTGTGATTCACTAGGGTTTTCGTGGGGAGTGCACTTGTGAAACTAAACCTCATCAGAAATGACCTCTGTCTGCGGGGCGCAGTGGCGCTCGCCTACGTAGTCCCAGTTACTCGGGACACTGAGGTGGGAGGATCCCTTGAGCGGGAGGTCGAGGCTGCAGTGAGCTGTGATCACGCCGCTGCACTCCAGCCTGAGCAACACAGCGAGACCGCGTGTCCAAAAGAAATTTAGAAAAAAATGTCCTCTGCCTTTTGCCACACGCCTTAAGATGATTGCTCTGCCAGCCTGGCCAGCAGAAGTGGCTTTGTAGGCACTCAGACAGCGTACACACGTATGCTTAACTCTGGGACTTATCTTGAGAGTATTTTCAAAAGTAAAACGGCAAGTTTACATTTATCCATGGAAGTGATCGAATATAGCAGCCCTGTGGAGCGCACGTTCCCAATCACGGTTGTCTGTTTTCAGTGTGAAATATGAGTTGGCGAGGAAGATCGACCTATTATTGGCCTAGACCAAGACGCTACGTAGAGCCTCCTGAAATGATTGGGCCTATGCGGGTGAGTGCTTAAACGTTAATTCGATGTTTTCTATTAGTAGAAATTAATTTTTGTGATAGCGTTGTTGCATTAGTGTGGAAATGCTGATAAAGGTCTTTCCTGCTCATAAAAAATGATGATGGCATCTCATGAAGGAAACATTGATTCTGGAGGATTTTTTTTTTCCTCTCGTGTTCTTCAGCTTTTGCCCATGACTTCTTTCTCCGGCTTTGTTTGTTAATGACAGATTGTACACATGTATTCCAACACAGAGTACAATAGCCTCCAAAGTCCTCGTGCGTCACTTTTCTCACAGTAACCTCCCTGTGGGTGGAGTAACCTTATTGGGCATAGAGCATAGAGTTGGAGAAATGTCTTTAGGCTTAGTTATGACCAGAAATAGCTATGTATTCTGTGTATATATGTAAAATTTTGTATCAATAACGAAACTTATTTTCTATTTGCACACCCACACGTATTCCCCAGCCCGAGCAGTTCAGTGATGAAGTGGAACCAGCAACACCTGAAGAAGGGGAACCAGCAACTCAACGTCAGGATCCTGCAGCTGCTCAGGAGGGAGAGGATGAGGGAGCATCTGCAGGTCAAGGTGAGGGAAAGGGAAGAAGAACGTCTGCTGGTGTGTGCGTGTGTGTGTGTTCGTGTGTGTGTGTGCACGTGTGTGTGTGTGTGTGTGTGTGTGTGTGAGGCATTGTCACATAGGAGGAAGAGGAGGAAAGAAAACAATGGAAAGAATGCCTGAAATTGACTGGAAAAGCGAGGAGGCTATGTAGTTTGCAGCTTAGCTTAGGCAAATCCCTCACTATGATAAAAGTTCTCGACTTTATGAATGAGAGAATGGAGGTGCCAGGATTGTGTGTTATCCAAGAACCCTTGACTGGTGAATACAACATTTGTATTGTGTTCCAAGGTTTGTGTCTTCCTATCATGTGTGTTGCTGTAAAGAAGGAAGTGATTTTGCTGAAAATGCTTAAAACTCAAAAGGCTTTACTGTAAGGTAGCTTAGTACTGACCCAAGAATAGACCCAGTTCAGAGGAGCAGGAGCAGCTCCAAAAACCGAGTCGCTGAATGTTGGCCCCCGTTTCCTTTGATTGATATTTTTATATGGTACGTTTGATAAAAGCTGGATAAATGAGGATACTGCCATACAGGTAGCTGGTTTAGTGATTTTTCTCAGCGGCTTTTAGGAGGTGATTAAATCCTTTTATGGTTAGAAAAGCAAAAACGGAATTATCCTGAGATTAACGTGAGATGGAAATAATTTCTCCGAGATAAAATGTTTTGAAAGGAAGCGTTTATGTAATGGAGGTCATGGATTATTCCAGGGATGCACTGTTAAAAGTTCCTAGAATCTGACTGACAACAATGCCCATTAATTGCTGTCCGCCCACTCCCTTATTCTCAGTGCGGGGGACAGTATATTTTCTGTGATTCACAAACAATGTTATATTTGGTGCTTTGTTCTTCACGGGGTTCATTTATGGAATATTACCTTTAGGACCTTCGGACCTAAATATAACTTTATTTGAACAAAGTGAAGTTTCTCTTTACCCCAATAGGTAATGGGTGTCGTGACTGTAAGATTTTCCATAGTCCTCAAATCCGTCCAGCTAATCAATCCTTCAGAAACTGACATTGTAATTGTAACTGAAATCCTACCCACGTGGTAGACTTCAGATTTCTCAGCTGACGCACACTGCTGTTGGTACTCTAGGGCTGAATATAAGCATTATACATGTCCTGTGGTTTATCCTTAGATTGTCATTTAGGAGAAAGGTCTAAAGCTGGGCTGAATGCCATGCACTCATAGTCCCAGCTACTTGGGAGGCCGAGGTGAGAGGATTGCTTGAGTCCTGGAGTTCAAGCCCAGCCTGGGAAACACAGTGAGACCTCATCGCTAATAAATACATAAATGAATAAATAAATAAATACATAAATAAATTCATTAAATAAGTAAAGTTTTCATGGTATAGGAAAACACAGATGCAAAGTTTTTGTGCCTAGTGGCTGGTAATGTTGCAAACGTAACTCCTTAGTGAACTGTACCACTTAAAAATAGTTAAGATGGTAAATTTTAGGATATCTGTATTTTTTACCACAATTGGAAATTCCTTTCTTCCTAAAGTTCAGTGCAGTTATCATGTATTCTTTTAAATTTTTACTGTATGTATCTTCAAGACATAGCATTCATAGAAAATTTGCAAGAATAGTACAATGAACTCATATACTGTTCATCTGGATTCACCAATTGTTAATAGCTTTCGCTTCATCAGTTTCACATCTCTTCCCTCCGTCTCTTACCGTGCTGCCCACACACTCACACACACACACACACACATACATACGGATATATGTTTACTGTTATTAATGCTGAATTGTCTCGATAAAGTTTCAGGTATTATGGTCCTTTACCCTATGTACTTGAGGGTGTGTATATCGTCAGAACAAAGAGAAAGTCATTTCTTGGATCATCACTGCACAAAGATGAAAATCAGGAAATTTAACAATGAGAAAATGGAGTCATTTAATACAGAGTGCATACTCAAATTTTGCCAGTTCCCCAGAAAATTTCTTTTTTCCTTTTTTTTTTCTTTGTTGAGACGGAGTCTCTCTCTGTGGGCCAGGTTGGAGTGCAGTAGTGCGATCTCGGCTCACTGCAACCCACACCTCCCAGGTTCTAGGGATTCTCATGCCTCAGCCTCCCGTGTAGCTGGGACTACAGGCGCCGGCCACTGCGGGCTTGAACTTCTGGCCTCACCTGCTCTGCCCACCTTGGCATCCCAAAATGTTTGGATTGCAGGCGTGAGACCCCACGCCCGGCCCAGATAATTTTATTGATAGGATTTCTTTTTCTGATCCAGAGTCCAGTTCAGAATCACACCTTGCATGTGCTTTTCAGGTGTTTTTAGTTTCCTTTAACCTGTAATGTTTCCTTAATTTTTCTTGTCATTCACGATACGGACATTTTTGGAGAGGATAGACCAGTTGGTTTGCAGAATATTCTGCAGTTTGGGCTTTTTCATGTATTTTTAAAAGAGTTTTCTCACTCAGCGTTTATTGGTGGCTACTCATGCCATGTAAGAGTCTAAGCGCTAGGAGTGTAAGTGCTGTGAGAGACGGGATTTGAGCCTTGAGTCATTTAATACGAGAAGGACAATCAGAAGTAGAATAAGAGAGAAGTGCAAAGGAGGCAGCAAAGTTGTCTGAGGGCAGTCTTCGGAAAGGAAGAGGGTAATATTTGGAACACCTTGTTTTCCTGTTTTCTGCTAACGGACTCCTGAAATAATGTTCCTGGGATTCTTATCAACACATTTATTATTATGTTAGCTAAAGCTTTTATATAATAATACCGAGAGCGTGAATATTATTTTCTTATTCATGCGTTATGTTTTACTGCTTAAATTGATACGTATTTTTTATTTTTAAGGGCCGAAGCCTGAAGCTGATAGCCAGGAACAGGGTCACCCACAGACTGGGTGTGAGTGTGAAGATGGTCCTGATGGGCAGGAGATGGACCCGCCAAATCCAGAGGAGGTGAAAACGCCTGAAGAAGGTAGGCAATCCATTAGGCATGCACATTGTAGGGTGTCTGTTTCCACAGTATCATATTGTAAGTCTTACTATGTTTTTGAGACGGAGTCTCGCTCTGAAGACCAGGCTGGAGTGCAGTGGTGCCATCTCGGCTCACAGGAAATTCTGTCTCCAGGGTTCAAGTGATTCTCCTGCCTGAGCCTCTGGCGGAGCCGGGCTTACAGGCGGGCTCCGCCGCGCCCAGCTAATTGTTGTATTTTTAGTAGAGACAGGGTTTCGTTATGTTGCACAGGTTGTTCCCAAACTCCTGACCTCAGGTGATCCACCTGCCTCGACCATTGAAATTGCCGGGATTACAGGCGAGAGCCACCGTGCCCGACCCAGCATTATATTTTTAATAACAGAGAGGTAACAATACTGCGTCTTTAGTAACAGACTTCTTATATAAAGGTTATTTGAAACGTAGTTCAGGCCCCAGCACCCGACTGATAGACTGTCAGATAGGGAAACAAACTGAGTCAAAGCTATGTTGAATTAAAAGTTTTGAGTATAAATCCTTAAACCAGTAGCTCACAATTTTCAGATGCTTTTGTAAAGGTCTGCTTTTAATCAATACATAACACGTTTGTAACACCCATCACTTGGTGTGAAAAATGCTGAAGCACTCATGCGGGTTCTAATACCAGCTCTTACAGCCTTGGCGAGATTCTGAGTGAGTCCTTTCCCTTCTAAACCTATCTTTGGTTCTTATGAAAATAGTGAGTTTAAGTCAGAGACTTTAAAACCATTTTGCATTCCGTTTCTTTCATACTCTGATCCTGTTGCATAGAATGCGTGGGACACAGAGATCATCTGCTTCGCATGGTTTGTTAATCACAAATCATGAAACCCTGGCCCGAGTCATCTGAAAATCTCTGAATTGAGATTTCATTGTCAGTAAGACAGTGAGCGGGCCCTCTGCTTCATCCTAGTTTTTCCGTGTGGAGAGCTGAATACGTAGTATAAGATCTTGTGAAATTGTGAATTCTCCCTCTTCTTGGTTTGTTTGTTTGTTTGCGACAGAGTCTCAGTGTGTCACCCAGGCTGGAGTGCAGTGATGCAATTTCAGCTCACTGCAACTTCTGGCTCCCAGGCTAAAGCCGTCCTCCCACCTCAGCCTCCCGAGTGGCTGGAACTACATGCACAAGCCACCGTGCCTGACTACATTTTTTTGTTTTCATTTTTGTAGAGATGAGGTCTCACTGTGTTGCCCAGGCAGGGTTTCTCTGGCTTTTAATGAACAATTGCTTCTTTTTTTTCTTTTATTTATTTATTTATTTATTTATTTATTTATTGTTATACTTTAAGTTTTAGGGTACATGTGCACGTTGTGCAGGTTAGTTACATATGTATACATGTGCCATGCTGGTGCGCTGCACCCACTATCTCATCATCTAGCATTAGGTACATCTCCCAGTGCTATCCCTCCCCCCTCCCCCCACCCGACAACAGTCCCCAGGGTGTGATATTCCCCTTCCTCTGTCCATGTGATCTCATTGTTCAGTTCCCACCTATGAGTGAGAATATGCGGTGTTTGGTTTTTTGTTCTTGCGATAGTTTACTGAGAATGATGATTTCCAGTTTCATCCATGTCCCTGCAAAGGACATGAACTCATCATTTTTTAGGGCTGCATAGTATTCCATGGTGTATATGTGCCACATTTTCTTAATCCAGTCTATCGTTGTTGGACATTTGGGTTGGTTCCAAGTCTTTGCTATCGTGAATAATGCCGCAATAAACATACGTGTGCATGTGTCTTTATAGCAGCATGATTTATAGTCCTTTGGGTATATACCCAGTAATGGGATGGCTGGGTCAAATGGTACAATTGCTTCTTAAATCTTTCCCCACGGAAACCTTGAGTGACTGAAATAAATATCAAATGGCGAGAGACCGTTTAGTTCCTATCATCTGTGGCATGTAGGTCAGTGATGCTCAGCATGGGTGTGAGTAAGATGCCTGTGCTATGCATGCTCCCTGCCCCACTGTCAGTCTTCATGAGCCACTATTTCTAATAAGACTGTAGACACACATACGATATAATCATCTCTAATCATATCAAATGTTACATGTAAGTTTCAGCTTTAGAGACATGAATTGATAAGATTTAAAGTTGAAAGACCATGACTCTAGTACTTCCTGAGTAATCAACTGAAGTATGCTTTACACATGTGTTTTCCAAATTGCTGACTGTTAATTGTAAGTGCTTGTGACTTGAAAGGAAGCACTTGATGTTCAGGGGGGGAAATTCCTTTTAAATTCTGCAGGTCTACGCTCAAAGTTTATGCAGAGGTTCAATTGCGTGTAAGACACGGGATCACCCATAGGGTTCTGTTTTTAGTCCATTTAATAAAACCCAAACTGTAGTGTGCTTTGTATGCCTTTAGGGTCATCTGAATAATCTGTTGCTAAGTCATGTTCCCAATCGTTGTGTTTCTGTTACAGGTGAAAAGCAATCACAGTGTTAAAAGAAGACACGTTGAAATGATGCAGGCTGCTCCTATGTTGGAAATTTGTTCATTAAAATTCTCCCAATAAAGCTTTACAGCCTTCTGCAAAGAAGTCTTGCGCATCTTTTGTGAAGTTTATTTCTAGCTTTTTGATGCTGTGAAATATGTATCATTCTTTGAAATCGTGTATTGTAACTCTCTGAGCTGGTATGTAGAGACATCGTTCTTTTTTTTTTTCTTTCTTTCTTTGTTCTCTTTTGAGACGGAGTCTTGCTCTGTCGCCCAGGCTGGAGTGCAGTGGCGCGATCTCTGCTCACTGCAACCCCGCCTCCCGGATTCAAGCAATTGTCTGCCTCAGCCTCCCGAGTAGCTGGGATTATAGGCACCCACCAGCACGCCTGGCTAAGTTTTGTGTTTTTACTAGAGATGGGCTTTCGCCATCTTGGCCGGGGTGCTCTTGAACTCCTGACCTCGTGATTCACCTGCCTTGGCCTCCCAAAGTGCTGGGATTACAGGCATGAGCCTCCGCGCCCGGTGGAGACATAATTCTTACATATTGGTTTTCTATCCAGCGGCCTTGTGAAATATGCTTGTGAATTCTAAAGTTTACTTCTAGGTCGTTTTCAGTCTTCAATATACAGAAACATATCATCCTGGAATAAGAGCAGTTTTGTTTCCGCCATTTTTTTTTCTTTTCCCTTTTGTATTTTTTTGTAGAGACGGGGTTTTGCCATGTTTCCCGGGCTGTTGTTGAACTTTTGAGTGCAAGTGATGCACCCACGTCACCTCCCACAGTGCTGGGATTACTGGCGTGGGCCACCGTGGCGGGCCCGTCGTTGCCATTGTAAAGAGTTTTATTTCCTTTTCTGATTTTATGGCATTGCGCAGACCCACCCGTTACAATGGTGACAGTGGACATCCTTGTCTTATCCCTGATGAGAAACCGAAAAATTTCAACATTTCGCCATCCTATTCACTCTTCTTTTTTTGTAGACAGACTTTATCTAGAGTGAGTCATTCCATTCTGTTCCAAATTTGCTGAGAGTATTCATTTGAATATATGTTGATTTTCATCAAACAGTGCATCTATTTCGATTACCACAGCGTTTTTTCCCATTCATGGGTTAATATAGTGAATTCGATTGATAAATTTGTACGTTTTTAGGTTCGATTATTAAAACTTGAGACAGCGTCTCACTCTGTCACCGAGGCTGGAGTGCGGTGGTGTTATCAGAGCTCGCTGCAGCCTTGACCTCCTGGGCTCAAGCGCTCCTCCCACCTCAGCCTCCTGAGTAGCTGTGAGTATAGGTACATGCCACCATGCCCAGCTAATTTTTTGATGGTTTTTTTGTTTGTTTTTTGTAGTGATGAGATTTTCTGATGTTGCTTAGGCTGGTCTCGAAGTCCTGAGCTCAGGTGATCTGGCCAGCTCAGCCTCCCAAAATACTAGGATTACAGGCGTGAGCCTTGGCCTGGTCTGGTTTTTCTTATATAGGGGTCTTATCTATATAAAGACTAAAGTTAATCTGTTCCTTTGTGCGGGTGGGCTAAGAGCATGATGACTTTTATCATTCTATTGATTTAAAGAAAACTGTCCTTGACTTACCAGTGTGTAAGTCCATGAAAGCATAATTCTGTTGAAAGCATATATTGTTAATGGGTGTTGGGAACCGTGCACTTTCCGCTGCTGTGGGAGCATGTCCTTGGAGGTACCTTTCATCTGTTTTCTCAACTCCAAACATCTTAGGACCATGGGTTGTGACTGGTAGGACTATGTATCTTGCTGCTTTCAAGACGGAGTATATTTTCACGTGGTGTCACTCTGGCTGTCCTGTTTCCCTAATACTGTCACTTCACCCTCTGCGATTCTGATGCTACAAATGATAGATATCGTTTTAGCATTTTCTTACGGGTCCTAGCGATTCTATTCATTTTTCTTTCAGTCTCTTTCTCTGACTTGTTCACATTGAACAATTTCCTTTTGGGATAGGTTGCTATTTCTGTTTTCGCAGGTGGTTTACCTGTCTTCCCAGCCAGTCACAGTGGTCCTTGTCCCCATGGTGGGTCCGGGGCAAGAGAGGGCCCTGGGTTGGGGGTGGGGTTCAGTTGAAGATGGGGTGAGTTTTGAGGGGAGCACTACTTGAGTCCCAGAGGCATAGGAAACAGCAGAGGGAGGTGGGATTCCCTTATCCTCAATGAGGATGGGCATGGAGGGTTTGGGGCGTGGCGCTGGGAACGGCAGCCCTCCCCAGCCCACAGCCGCGCATGCTCCCTGGGCTCCCGCCTCAGTGCGCATGTTCACTGGGCGCCTTCTGCCCGGCCCCTTCGCCCACGTGAAGAACGCCAGGGAGCTGTGAGGCAGTGCTGTGTGGTTCCTGCCGTCCGGACTCTTTTTCCTCTACTGAGATTCATCTGGTAGGTGTGCAGGCCAGTCATCCCGGGGGCTGAAGTGTGAGTGAGGGTGGAGAGGGCCTCGGGTGGGTCAGGCGGGTCCCGCTTCCTGGTCTGTGGCCTCCGAGGGAGAAGGGCCACGAGGTCGTCCTCCTTCCCTTCACAGGCTGCGAGGCCACCGGCGGCTTCGTGGTCGTGAAGGGGCCTGGACGGGGAGGAAGGTGGGCCGTGGAGGGGAGGCGGTCAGGGGCTCAGGTGAAGACGGGGTGAGTGCTGTTGGGGGGATGGAAGTCCCGAGGTGCCGGGATCCCCGACGACACAGGGCAGATTCCCTGAATGGGGCCCCCGGCGGGGGCGAGGCGGGCGGTGAAGAAGGGGCCTGGCACCTGGGAAGGCTGCGGCCTGGCGAGCGCCCCCCCCAGCGGTGTGGAGTGCGGAGCGCCCGAGTGAGAAGCACTGCAAGGTCTCACCTCCGCCATGGAAGGTCCGAAAACAGTGGGAAGGAGTGGGCGAGGCAGTGCGGTCCAACCAAACTTGTTGTGAGGGGGGGTGAATGGCTCTAGGAAGTGGGAGTGTGCCCAAAGCAGCAATCACGAGAATTGTGATTCACTAGGGTTTTCGTGGGGAGTGCACTTGTGAAACTAAACCTCATCAGAAATGACCTCTGTCTGCGGGGCGCAGTGGCGCTCGCCTACGTATTCCCAGTTACTGGGGACACTGAGGTGGGAGGATCCCTTGAGCGGGAGGTCGAGGCTGCAGTGAGCTGTGATCACGCCGCTGCACTCCAGCCTGAGCAACACAGCGAGACCGCGTGTCCAAAAGAAATTTAGAAAAAAATGTCCTCTGCCTTTTGCCACACGCCTTAAGATGATTGCTCTGCCAGCCTGGCCAGCAGAAGTGGCTTTGTAGGCACTCAGACAGCGTACACACGTATGCTTAACTCTGGGACTTATTTTGAGAGTATTTTCAAAAGTAAAACGGCAAGTTAACATTTATCCATGGAAGTGATCGAATATAGCAGCCCTCTGGAGCGCACGTTCCCAATCACGGTTGTCTGTTTTCAGTGTGAAATATGAGTTGGCGAGGAAGATCGACCTATTATTGGCCTAGACCAAGGCGCTATGTACAGCCTCCTGAAATGATTGGGCCTATGCGGGTGAGTGCTTAAACGTTAATTCGATGTTTTCTATTAGTAGAAATTAATTTTTGTGATAGCGTCGTTGCATTAGTGTGGAAATGCTGATAAAGGTCTTTCCTGCTCATAAAAAATGAGGATGGCATCTCATGAAGGAAACATTGATTCTGGAGGATTTTTTTTTTCCTCTCGTGTTCTTCAGCTTTTGCCCATGACTTCTTTCTCCGGCTTTGTTTGTTAATGACAGATTGTACACATGTATTCCAACACAGAGTATAATAGCCCCCAAAGTCCTCGTGTGTCACTTTTCTCACAGTAACCTCCCTGTGGTTGGAGTAACCTTATTGGGCATAGAGCATAGAGTTGGAGAAATGTCTTTAGGCTTAGTTATGACCAGAAATAGCTATGTATTCTGTGTATATATGTAAAATTTTGTATCAATAACGAAACTTATTTTTTATTTGCACACCCACACGTATTCCCCAGCCCGAGCAGTTCAGTGATGAAGTGGAACCAGCAACACCTGAAGAAGGGGAACCAGCAACTCAACGTCAGGATCCTGCAGCTGCTCAGGAGGGAGAGGATGAGGGAGCATCTGCAGGTCAAGGTGAGGGAAAGGGAAGAAGAACGTCTGCTGGTGTGTGCGTGTGTGTGTGTTCGTGTGTGTGTGTGCACGTGTGTGTGTGTTAGGCATTGTCACATAGGAGGAAGAGGAGGAAAGAAAACAATGGAAAGAATGCCTGAAATTGACTGGAAAAGCGAGGAGGCTATGTAGTTTGCAGCTTAGCTTAGGCAAATCCCTCACTATGATAAAAGTTCTCGACTTTATGAATGAGAGAATGGAGGTGCCAGGATTGTGTGTTATCCAAGAACCCTTGACTGGTGAATACAACATTTGTACTGTGTTCTAAGGTTTGTGTCTTCCTATCATGTATGTTGCTGGAAAGAAGGAAGTGATTTTGCTGAAAATGCTTAAAACTCAAAAGGCTTTACTGTAAGGTAGCTTAGTACTGACCCAAGAATAGACCCAGTTCAGAGGAGCAGGAGCAGCTCCAAAAACCGAGTCGCTGAATGTTGGCCCCCGTTTCCTTTGATTGATATTTTTATATGGTACGTTTGATAAAAGCTGGATAAATGAGGATACTGCCATACAGGTAGCTGGTTTAGTGATTTTTCTCAGCGGCCTTTAGGAGGTGATTAAATCCTTTTATGGTTAGAAAAGCAAAAACGGAATTATCCTGAGATTAACGTGAGATGGAAATAATTTCTCCGAGATAAAATGTTTTGAAAGGAAGCATTTATGTAACGGAGGTCGTGGATTATTCCAGGGATGCACTGTTAAAAGTTCCTAGAATCTGACTGACAACAATGCCCATTAATTGCTGTCCGCCCACTCCCTTATTCTCAGTGCGGGGGACAGTATATTTTCTGTGATTCACAAACAATGTTATATTTGGTGCTTTGTTCTTCACAGGGTTCATTTATGGAATATTACCTTTAGGACCTTCGGACCTAAATATAACTTTATTTGAACAAAGTGAAGTTTCTCTTTACCCCGATAGGTAATGGGTGTCGTGACTGTAAGATTTTCCATAGTCCTCAAATCCATCCAGCTAATCAATCCTTCAGAAACTGACATTGTAATTGTAACTGAAATCCTACCCACGTGGTAGACTTCAGATTTCTCAGCTGACGCACACTGCTGTTGGTACTCTAGGGCTGAATATAAGCATTATACATGTCCTGTGGTTTATCCTTAGATTGTCATTTAGGAGAAAGGTCTAAAGCTGGGCTGAATGCCATGCACTCATAGTCCCAGCTACTTGGGAGGCCGAGGTGAGAGGATTGCTTGAGTCCTGGAGTTCAAGCCCAGCCTGGGAAACACAGTGAGACCTCATTGCTAATAAATAAATAAATGAATAAATAAATAAACACATAAATAAATTCATTAAATAAATAAAGTTTTCATGGTATAGGAAAACACAGATGCAAAGTTTTTGTGCCTAGTGGCTGGTAATGTTGCAAACGTAACTCCTTAGTGAACTGTACCACTTAAAAATAGTTAAGATGGTAAATTTTAGGATATCTGTATTTTTTACCACAATTGGAAATTCCTTTCTTCCTAAAGTTCAGTGCAGTTATCATATATTCTTTTAAATTTTTACTGTATGTATCTTCAAGACGTAACATTTATAGAAAATTTGCAAGAATAGTACAATGAACTCATATACTGTTCATCTGGATTCACCAATTGTTAGTAGCTTTCGCTTCATAGGTTTCACATCTCTTCCCTCCGTCTCTTACCGTGCTGCCCACACACTCACACACACACACTCACACACACATACGGATATATGTTTACTGTTATTAATGGTGAATTGTCTCGATAAAGTTTCAGGGATTATGGTCCTTTACCCTATGTACTTGAGGGTGTGTATATCGTCAGAACAAAGAGAAAGTCATTTCTTGGATCATCACTGCACAAAGTTGAAAATCAGGAAATTTAACAATGAGAAAATGGAGTCATTTAATACAGAGTGCATACTCAAATTTTGCCAGTTCCCCAGAAAATTTCTTTTTTCCTTTTTTTTTTCTTTGTTGAGACGGAGTCTCTCTCTGTGGGCCAGGTTGGAGTGCAGTAGTGCGATCTCGGCTCACTGCAACCTACACCTCCCAGGTTCTAGGGATTCTCATGCCTCAGCCTCCCGTGTAGCTGGGACTACAGGCGCCGGCCACTGCGGTCTTGAACTTCTGGCCTCACCTGCTCTGCCCACCTTGGCATCCCAAAATGTTTGGATTGCAGGCGTGAGACCCCACGCCCGGCCCAGATAATTTTATTGATAGGATTTCTTTTTCTGATCCAGAGTCCAGTTCAGAATCACACCTTGCATGTGCTTTTCAGGTGTTTTTAGTTTCCTTTAACCTGTAATGTTTCCTTAATTTTTCTTGTCATTCACGATACGGACATTTTTGGAGAGGATAGACCAGTTGGTTTGCAGAATATTCTGCAGTTTGGGCTTTTTCATGTATTTTTAAAAGAGTTTTCTCACTCAGCGTTTATTGGTGGCTACTCATGCCATGTAAGAGTCTAAGCGCTAGGAGTGTAAGTGCTGTGAGAGACGGGATTTGAGCCTTGAGTCATTTAATACGAGAAGGACAATCAGAAGTAGAATAAGAGAGAAGTGCAAAGGAGGCAGCAAAGTTGTCTGAGGGCAGTCTTCGGAAAGGAGGAGGGTAATATTTGGAACACCTTGTTTTCCTGTTTTCTGCTAACGGACTCCTGAAATAATGTTCCTGGGATTCTTATCAACACATTTATTATTACGTTAGCTAAAGCTTTTATATAATAATACCGAGAGCATGAATATCATTTTCTTATTCATATTTTATGTTTTACTGCTTAAATTGATACGTATTTTTTATTTTTAAGGGCCGAAGCCTGAAGCTCATAGCCAGGAACAGGGTCACCCACAGACTGGGTGTGAGTGTGAAGATGGTCCTGATGGGCAGGAGATGGACCCGCCAAATCCAGAGGAGGTGAAAACGCCTGAAGAAGGTAGGCAATCCATTAGGCATGCACATTGTAGGGTGTCTGTTTCCACAGTATCATACTGTAACTCTTACTATGTTTTTGAGACGGAGTCTCGCTCTGAAGACCAGGCTGGAGTGCAGTGGTGCCATCTCGGCTCACTGGAAATTCTGTCTCCAGGGTTCAAGTGATTCTCCTGCCTGAGCCTCTGGCGGAGCCGGGCTTACAGGCATGCTCCGCCGCGCCCAGCTAATTGTTGTATTTTTAGTAGAGACAGGGTTTCGTTATGTTGCACAGGTTGTTCCCGAACTCCTGACCTCAGGTGATCCACCTGCCTCGACCATTGAAATTGCCGGGATTACAGGCGAGAGCCACCGTGCCCGACCCAGCATTATATTTTTAATAACAGAGAGGTAACAATACTGCGTCTTTAGTAACAGAGTTCTTATATAAAGGTTATTTGAAACGTAGTTCAGGCCCCAGCACCCGGCTGATAGACTGTCAGATAGGGAAACAAAGTGAGTCAAAGCTATGTTGAATTAAAAGTTTTGAGTATAAATCCTTAAACCAGTAGCTCACAATTTTCAGATGCTTTTGTAAAGGTCTGCTTTTAATCAATACATAACACGTTTGTAACACCCATCACTTGGTGTGAAAAATGCTGAAGCACTCATGCGGGTTCTAATACCAGCTCTTACAGCCTTGGCGAGATTCTGAGTGAGTCCTTTCCCTTCTAAACCTATCTTTGGTTCTTATGAAAATAGTGAGTTTAAGTCAGAGACTTTAAAACCATTTTGCATTCCGTTTCTTTCATACTCTGATCCTGTTGCATAGAATGCGTGGGACACAGAGATCATCTGCTTCGCATGGTTTGTTAATCACAAATCATGAAACCCTGGCCCGAGTCATCTGAAAATCTCTGAATTGAGATTTCATTGTCAGTAAGACAGTGAGCGGGCCCTCTGCTTCATCCTAGTTTTTCCGTGTGGAGAGCTGAATACGTAGTATAAGATCTTGTGAAATTGTGAATTCTCCCTCTTCTTGGTTTGTTTGTTTGTTTGCGACAGAGTCTCAGTGTGTCACCCAGGCTGGAGTGCAGTGATGCAATTTCAGCTCACTGCAACTTCTGGCTCCCAGGCTAAAGCCGTCCTCCCACCTCAGCCTCCCGAGTGGCTGGAACTACATGCACAAGCCACCGTGCCTGACTACATTTTTTTGTTTTCATTTTTGTAGAGATGAGGTCTCACTGTGTTGCCCAGGCAGGGTTTCTCTGGCTTTTAATGAACAATTGCTTCTTTTTTTTCCTTTTATTTATTTATTATACTTTAAGTTTTAGGGTACATGTGCACGTTGTGCAGGTTAGTTACATACGTATACATGTGCCATGCTGGTGCGCTGCACCCACTATCTCATCATCTAGCATTAGGTACATCTCCCAGTGCTATCCCTCCCCCCTCCCCCCACCCGACAACAGTCCCCAGGGTGTGATATTCCCCTTCCTCTGTCCATGTGATCTCATTGTTCAGTTCCCACCTATGAGTGAGAATATGCGGTGTTTGGTTTTTTGTTCTTGCGATAGTTTACTGAGAATGATGATTTCCAGTTTCATCCATGTCCCTACAAAGGACATGAACTCATCATTTTTTAGGGCTGCATAGTATTCCATGGTGTATATGTGCCACATTTTCTTAATCCAGTCTATCGTTGTTGGACATTTTGGGTTGGTTCCAAGTCTTTGCCTATCGTGAATAATGCCGCAATAAACATACGTTGTGCATGTGTCTTTTATAGCAGCATGATTTTATAGTCCCTTTGGGGTATATACCCCAGTAATGGGATGGCTTGGGTCAAATTGGTAACAATTTGCTTCTTAAATCTTTTCCCCACGGAAAACCTTGAGTGACTGAAATTAATTATAAAAGGTTATTTGAAACGTAGTTCAGGCCCCAGCACCCGACTGATAGACTGTCAGGTAGGGAAACAAACTGAGTCAAAGCTATGTTGAATTAAAAGTTTTGAGTGTAAATCCTTAAACCAGTAGCTCACAATTTTCAGATGCTTTTGTAAAGGTCTGCTTTTAATCAATACATAACACGTTTGTAACACCCATCACTTGGTGTGAAAAATGCTGAAGCACTCATGCGGGTTCTAATACCAGCTCTTACAGCCTTGGCGAGATTCTGAGTGAGTCCTTTCCCTTCTAAACCTATCTTTGGTTCTTATGAAAATAGTGAGTTTAAGTCAGAGATTTTAAAACCATTTTGCATTCCGTTTCTTTCATACTCTGATCCTGTTGCATAGAATGCGTGGGACACAGAGATCATCTGCTTCGCATGGTTTGTTAATCACAAATCATGAAACCCTGGCCCGAGTCATCTGAAAATCTCTGAATTGAGATTTCATTGTCAGTAAGACAGTGAGCGGGCCCTCTGCTTCATCCTAGTTTTTCCGTGTGGAGAGCTGAATACGTAGTGTAAGATCTTGTGAAATTGTGAATTC